>NC_000003.12:129766180-129917695 GCF_000001405.40 Homo sapiens
AAAAGCAAGTCAGAATAATTTCTCCCCTAATCCCTGTATGAGCCAGAATTGTTTAGTAGGCCTGAGAGAAGACTGACACAAAGATAAGGAGACAGCAACGCCCTGATGTGTTGAGATGCCATGCCAGGACATCTGTTTCTGAGCATTTCATTCATTCATTCATTCATTCATTCTTTCACTCATGCAAACATTTTGAGTTTATTGCATTTGTAAGGCTCTGAGCTAGCATGCACAGAGAATACAAAGATGACTGTGTTGCTGAAACATTGCTGTATATAAACTAAACCCTAATGCAAGCAAATGTAGGCTTTAAAGTATTTAGCACAATGCCTAGCACATGATAAGCAATTAACAAATGTTAGCTATTATTAAAAATCAAATGGTTATTTAGATTGTATGACAATGCTCACTATTTAAACAAATCTTATGGGTTTTGTTTTGTTTTTTTGTTTTTTATTGAGACAGGGCCTCACTCTATCGCCCAGGCTGGAGTGTAGCAGCACAATCTCCGCTCACTGCAGCCTACCCCCTGGGCTCAAGTGATCCTCCCACCTCAGCCTCTCTAGTAGCTGGGACTACAGGCGTGCAACACCACACCTGGCTAATTTTTGTATTTTTAGTGGAGATAAGGTTTTGCCATGTTGCCCAGGCTGGTCTCAAACTCCTGGGTTCAAGTGATCTGCCCGCCTTAGCCTCCCAAAGTGCTGGGATTACAGGTGTGAGCCACCGTGCCCAGCGCTATTTAAATAAATCTTATGATAAATTGTTTCTAAAATAGCTTTACTGAGATACAATTCATGGCCGGGCACAGTGGCTTATACCTGTAATCCCAGCACTTTGGGAGGCCGAGGTGGGCAGATCACCTGAGGCCAGGAGTTCGAGAACAGACTGCCCAACAAGGTGAAACCCTGTCTCTACAAAAATACAAAGATTAGCAGGGCATAATGGTTGGGGCCTGTAATCCCAGCTCCTCAGGAGGCTGAGGCAACAGAATCGCTTGAACCCGGGAGGCACAGGTTGCACTGAGCCGAGATGGTGCCATTGTACTCCAGCCTGGGCGACAGTGAGACGCTGTCTTTAAAAAAAAAAAAAAAAAAGATACAAGGCATGCATTGTATAATTTATCCATTTAAAGTATACAATTCAACAACTTTCAGCACATTCACAGAAGTGTGCAACCATTACCACAGTCAATTTTTTTTTTTTAAATTGGAGACGGTATTGCTCTGTTGCCCAGGTTGGAGTGCAGTAGTGCAGTGATAGCTTGCTGCAGTTTTGAACTCCAGGGTTCAAGCAAAGCTCTTGCCTCACCCTCTTGAGTAGCTAGGACTACAGGTGCACATCACCACACTTTGCTAATTTTTAAATTTTTTTGTAGAGACAGGATCTTTCTATACTGCCCAGGCTACGGTTAATTTTAGAATATTTACATCCCCTCAAAGAAACCTTTTGATCCTTGGCAATCATCCTCTTATTCCTCCATTCCCCTGGCCCTAAACAACCAATAATCTACTTTCTGTCTCTCTAGATTTGCCTATTCTGGATATTTCATGAAAATGTAATTTTACAATATGTGACTTTCTGTGTCTGGATTCTTTCACTTATGTTTTTAAAGTTCATCCTTGTTATAGCATGTATCGGTACTTCATTTGAATGCTTTACTAAAGGGAAACATTCTTTTGCAAAGTAAATAATCACCCCCAACTTAAAAAATAAATACATATTTCAGGCCAGGCCCAGAGGCTCACGCCTGTAATCTTAGCACTTTGGAAGGTTGAGGCCAGAGGATCACCTGAGCCCAGGAGTTTGAGACCAGCCTGGTCAACATGGTGAAACCTCATCTCTACAAAAAAATGCAAATAGCTGGGCATGGTGGTATGCATCTGTAGTCTCAGTTACTTGCAAGGCTGAGGTGGGAGGATTGCCTGAGCCCGGGAGGTGGAGGCTGCAGTGAGCCATGACTGCACCACTGTATGACTGCACCACTGTACTCCAGCATGAGTGACAGAGCAATATCGTCTCAACAAACAAACAAAAAACATATTTCAGTTTGCTTTCGGTATGTTATAATAGATGCCAGGACATAGGTATCCCTCACAATCGAGTATGAAGATGTTTCATTACAAAATAAAATTTAAGGAGTCCCTAAATCCAAACAACTTCTGAAAATCATTTTTTAAATGCCCATATATTTAGAAATAAAGATCTTAATATGTCTGCAAGTTTATACAAAAACAAGTTTAGTGAGAAGTACCTAGTGAGAACTGATTTAAGCAACTAGATCTAAGGTATCCTGTTTTCATTTATTGTAAGTCCCACTGATTAGATTCTGTTTGTTCCCCTCTCTATTGTCCTCTGCCCTGAGAAACTTAAACCATCCATTCTTTTTCTCATGAATACAGTTTGAGCACTAAATTGCAAAGAAAAACATGGATCTGGTTTAGGACTGTGCACATAGTCCCGAATGAAATACATCCCACAAGAGAAAATGAGGATAAAATATAACACTGCTATTTATTTAATTCAAAGTATATGTATTCTTATATTTAGAAGAGCCAGACAGGCACAGTTTCTTCATCTGTAAAATAAAGGTGGATTATGTAATCTTCAAGGTCTCCTCTGTCTCTAGAAACTATGATTTTTCTATTTAATCCTTTTGAAAACAGACAAAAAGAGCTGTAGTATGACCTCCCTAAGGCTAAACAGAAGCTTGTCAACAATGACTAGGGTTAGGCTCCTGATTTATCCCTGCACTCACTGGAGATAGGCAGATAAATCAGCCTCAACCCTGACCTCACAGAGTTCACAATATCGTAAGGGAAGAAAGTGAGGGGTAAAGAACTTGACAGCATACTTTAGATACAGAGCCAGGAGAAGGTAAGGGAGTAACAGGAACTTTATAATTTCTTCTTTCAAGCCCTTCACACCTCCCTGCCAAATCTGATCATCTAAAGCAAGCTTGTCCAACCCATTGCCAGCGGGCCGCACGTGGCCCAGGATGGCTTTGAATGCAGCCAAACACAAATTCATAAAGTTTCTTAAAACATTATAGGATTTTGTTTGTTTTGAGACGGAGTCTCGCTCTGTCACCCAGACTGGAGTGCAGTGGTGCGAACTCGGCTCACTGCAACCTCTGCCTCTCGGGTTCAAGCGATTCTCATGCCTCGGCCTCCTGAATAGCTGGGATTACAGGGGCACGACACCACACCTGGCTAATTTTTGTATTTTTAGTAGAGACGGGGTTTCACCATGTTGGCCAGGCTGGTCTCGAACTCATGACCTCAGGTGATCTGCCTGCCTCAGCCTCCTAAAGTGCTGGGATTACAAGCGTGAGCCCCTGCGCCCAGCCCATTATGAGATTTTTTTTTTTTTTTTTGCAATTTTTTTTCAAGCTCATTAGCTATCGTTAGTGTATTTTATATGTGGCCCAAGACAATTCTTCTTCTTCCAATGTGGTGTAGGGAAGTCAAAAGATTGGACACCCCTAATCTAAAGCAAATCCACATTAGACCCCATCCACTTAATGTTCTTACACTAACATCTGGAAATAACATAAAACTTGTATGTTTTACATTTCTACTTTTGGCCTGGGGTAAAAATGAACCAAGAATAATTAAACCACACTCCTCAGGGGACATAAGCTATACTGATTTAAAGAGCGAAACGGCAAAAGTACTTTTTAAATGCTCTTCAGTATTAATCAGAAGCCCTACTTGGACCAAAAGCAACGGAGAAGAATTTGTCTACCCTTTCCTTTAGCAATTAAAGATATTTCTATAAAGTGATGATTACCAAAGGATTATTTCAGCCACCATACTGTTAACTCATTTTGTCACGTGTCACAAATTCAAATGGCCTACCTTGCATTTCTGAAGCAAAATTGAACTTTTGTTTCTTATATGTTATTAAAGGAGAACACTGTCCTTGGGAAGCAACTCTAAGGTTGATAACTATCTGGGGCTTCAAGGGATCTTGTATTTATCTCAGGTCCAATTAAAGAGCAAAAAAATTCTAACTATACGTATTTATTGAGGCATTAAGAAAAAATGTTTCAGCTGGATGCAGTGGCTCACACCTGTAATCCCAGCACTTTGGGAGGCTGAGGCAGGAGGATCACTTCAGGCCAGGAGCTGGAGAGCAGCCTGGCCAACATAGTGAGACCCCATCTCTACCAAAAATACAAAAATTAGCTGGGCATGGTGTTGCACACCTGTAGTCCCAGTTACTCAGGAGGCTGAGATAGGAAGATTGCTTGAGCCCAGGAGGTAGAGGTTGCAGTCCCAGTTACTCAGGAGTCTGAGACAGGAGGATTGCTTGAGCCTAGGAGGCGGAGGCTGCAGTGAGCTGTGATCACACCACTGTACTCCAGCCTGGGTGACAGAGCAAGACCCTGTCTTAAGATAAAATAAAATAAAATAAAATAAATGAAATGAAATGAAATGAAATGAAATGAAATAAAATAAAATAAAATAAAATAGATAAAATGATTAGCACTTGGAAGACTACAAAAACACTCCTAAACCATAGATTTTAATTCTAAAACATCATCCATTTAGAGAATCTGGAGAGTGTGGAAATTTCCTCATACCCATAGGATGCATAATCTGACTTTGGATTCAGGGATACTGCACAAATTTACATTTGCAAATGCAATTCGTACAACTGAAGAAAAAGACTGAGTACAGTTAGGTTAAAATGAAATTAAATTTCTGGTTCCCTAAACAGTCATAATTAAAATTCTAATAAAAATTGAAGAGATGTGGACAACAGAAATATCTCGAGAGACTGGTCAAATCAATTAAGAAAATACGTGTTAATATTTTTCTGTCAATGTGATACCACCAGAATCCAATTAAGCATCAAAATCCCTGAATCCCTGACAGCTATCCCTCTAATACTTCCTTATTTCTAATGGTCCCCAGCTAGAATACTCTCAGAAATCAATGTGACCCTAGTGAGATTTGGTAGCATCTGGTCTTGGCATAAAGAGTGGGTACAATTTGGATAAGGAGATTGGGGATGGGCTGGGAAGGGAAAAGAAGAATAAAATGATCCTGGCTTAAAGGAAAACCTGAGTGAAAAACAAAGTGAACAAATGAGGAGCAAAAAGAAACAATGAACAATTCAGTTTGGCTGAATATTTGGCCCATATTTGAAAAATAAGGTTGCAAAGTTGGGCTAAATGGTGCTAAGTTTTGAAGGGGCTTGTAAGTTCAAATATATGAATTACATTCTGAGTACAAAGAGAACCACTAAAAAGTGTATGGCAGGAGAAAAGACTATCACAGACACAGTTTAGAAAGATTTATGTGGGCTGGGCACGGTTGCTCACACATGTAATCCCAGCACCCTGGGAGGCGGAGGTAGGTGGATTGCTTGAGTCCAGGAGTTTGAGACCAGCCTGGACAACATGGTGAGACCCTGTCTCTACAAAAAATACAAAAATAAGCTGGGTGTGGTGGCACGCATCTGTGGTCCCAGCTACTAGAGAGGCTAAGGTGAGAGGATCACTTGGCCCCAGGAGGTCAAGGCTGCAGTGAGCCATGATCATGCCACTGTACTTCGGCCTGGGCGTCAGAGCAAGACACTGTCTCAAAAAAAAAAAAAAAAAAAAAAAAAGAAGAAGAAGAAAAAACAATTGATGTGGTGTACTGGCAAAACGAATTTGGAATTTGGGAAAGCTGAAGATGGAGAAACTAGTTAGAAAGCTACCTTAATTGTCTTGTCGGAAGTGATGTTGGTTTGAATTACATTAGTGGCAATGGAAACAGGCAAGAAAGTACAGATATACAAGACATTTTAATTACAAAATAGAAGAACTCCTCAAGTGTGGAGGACAAGAAGACAAAAATGTTAATGCAAAAGATATTTGCAATTTACTAAAATAAAAAACTTTGGCCAGGTGTGGCAGTCCACACCTGTAATCCCACCACTTTGGAAGGCCAATGTGGGAGGATAGCTTAAGCCCAGGAGTTTGAGATCATCCTGGGCAACATAGAGACCTCTTCTCTACAAAAAATAAACAAAGTTAACTGAGCATGGTAGTGGATGCCTGTGGTCCCAGGCTGAGGTGGGAGGATTGCTTAAAGCCAGGAGGCTGAAGTGAGTCGAGGTCGTGCCACTGCCCTCCAGTCTGGGCGATAGAGTGGAGAGTGTGTCTCAAAAAAAAGAAAAGAAAATTATTTTTCTTTATATATTTTTCTATACAAAGAAAAAGATCCATAATGCTATAGAGATTAAAACAACTGATTCATACCAGGCATGGTGGCTCACGCCTGTAATCCCAGCACTTTGGGAAGCTGAGGCAGGCAGATCACAAGGTCAGGAGATCAAGACCATCCTGGCTAACACGGTGAAACCCCGTCTCTACTAAAAAAAAAAAATTCAAAAAAATTAGCTGGGTGTGGTGGCGGGCACCTGTAGTCCCAGCTACTCAGGAGGCTGAGGCAGGAGAATGGGGTGAACCCAGGAGGCAGAGCTTGCAGTGAGCCGAGATCGTGCCACTGCACTCCAGCCTGGGTGACAGAGCAAGACTCCGCCTCAAAAAAAAAAAAAAAAAAAAAACTGATTCACAGAAAAAAAATAAACGGCCTTTAAACATATGAAAAGATACTAGACATTGCTCACAATAAGAGAGATATAAATTAAAATTACACTGAGATACCACTTCTCACCTAACCGATTGACAAAAATGTGAAAGTTACAACCTACTCTGTTGGTAAAATAGTGAGAAAATAACACTCTCAGAAACTGTTGGTAGGAATGCAAAATAGTATAACCTCTTTCGATGGAAATATCTTAGAATCCAGCAAAGTTACCCTCACTCTAGCAACTTAACCCAAAGACATACTGGCAAAGACTATAAAAATGTACATAAACAAGCCTATTCACTGTAATAGTATTTGTAAACATAAAAGCCCAGAAACAACACAAATGTCCAAAAAGAGGGGTCTGGTTGAATAAACTATCGTCTAATCCCACAATGGAATACCATGCAACTTTAAAAAGGAATAAGGATTACTTCTCTATGTTGCTAAAGTGAGATCTCCAGAATATATCAAGCTAAAAAGAAACAAGTGTACTATAAAAGTATAGTGCCATTTTTCTTCAAAAATTCTTGCACATGTGTGGGTGTTTGTGTGGGAAGGCGAAGGGGGGTAGAGGATAAATATATTTACACATTTGTTTGTACTTTTCTTTAATAGAAAGCAAAGCTAGGGGGAAAAAAAGCTGTCAATTCAGAAAATAAACCAGAAGGACAAGGAAAGAGCTAGACTTCTCTGAACGTACTTTGTTTTGTAGATTTGAATTTGAAGCCATGTAAATGCTCTATTTAATTTATAAAGCCAAATTTAAGCAAAATGGAAAAAAAATCCCTAAATGCAAAAAGTGAAAGAGAACAAATAAGCCCAACAATATCAAGTTCATAAATTAACAACACAGACAGAATTATTTCAAGTTACTTTAAAAAATATTTTTACCGGCTGGGCGAGGTGGCTCATGTCTGTAATCCCAGCAATTTGGGAGTCTGGGATGGGAGAATCACTTCAGCCCAGGAGTTTGAGACCAGCCAGGGCAATATAGTGAGACCCTGTCTCTACCAAAAATTTAAAATTAGCCAGGCATGGTAACACTTGCCTGTAGTCCCACCTACTTGGAAGGCTGAGGTGGGAGATCACTTGAGCTCAGGAGTTGGAGGTGGCAGTGAGCCATGATTGTGCTACTGCACTCCAGCCTGGGCAATAGAGATACACTATCTCTAAAAAAACTAAAATTTAAAAAATTATTATATTGTATACCTTAAAGACAAATGAAATACAAAAAAAATTAACTGTTTTCAGTTGTCATATTGGCACAACATAACAGTAATGAGCATACCTCATGCTTTAAATGGTCTCTAAATATTATTTTCCACTGAAAGAAACCAGGGCTCCTTGGAGAAATGTAGCCAATTCTAGGTCTGGAGGAGGAAAGATATCAAGCTGAAACACCTTTGTTTCTTGGCTTTTGTGATTACATATACACTGCTGGGTCATGTGGAAAAGACTTATGGGCCACTTCTGAGAATAATATTTAGGGCACTGACCAGTTTATTATATAGTACAGAGGTATCAGTTTCCTTATGAACTAAATATGTTTAATATTCTTTCTAGAAAAGTATCAATAGGCTGTATAAATTATCATACCTAAAAAAATGCTATGAATATTCTATTAATATACTACCTTTCTTCCCACAGCTCACCTTCAATAAATGTATGTTAAGAATCTAGAAGCTGGAAATAAAATGGTGAACATGGAAGATACTGTCCCTGCCCTCATGAAGCTTTCAGTCTAGTGGAAAACAGACACAATTCAAAACAGTGAGACAGTATCATGGTTGGAACTAATACAGGGTACTAAGAGAATACAAAAGAGGGGCAACTAACCTAGAGCTGGCAGATCAGAAACCTCTTTGGAGAAATGACACCTAGGCTAAGACCCAAGGGACCTTAGGAGTTTCTTTTTTAATGTGTGCTTGTTTTGTGGGGAAATGGAAGTGAGAATAGGCAATGGGAAGACCAGGAAAAGGGAACGAGTGTAAAACAGCTAGACTACTAAGAAATAAATAGTAGTTTTGTGTGGCTGTGGGGAGCAAGGGTGTGAATGGTAAAATGTGAGGCTGAAGAGCAGAGGCCAGGTCATAAAGAATCTCTACAGATCATGTTAGGAAGTTTGAACTTTATCCTAAGGGAGGTAATGAAGAATTTTCAGCAGAAAAATGCCATAATTAAACCTGTCTGCAGCATCCAGAATGAATTAGACAGGGGGGATAATATAGAAGGCAAGGAGACCACTAGAAGACTGCTGCAGGGATCCAGGTACTATGCTGGGGACAGAGACAAGAGTACTCACTGAACAATACCTGCTACTCGAGAATATTTAGAAAGTAGAATCAATGACATTTGCTGGCTTGGTGGGGGTGTATGCAGATAAGAAATTGAAGGCTGGGTGTGGTGGCTCACATTTGTAATTCCAGCACTTTGGGAGGCTGAGGCAGGAGGATCACTTGAGCCCGCAAGTTCGAGACCTGCCTGGGCAACAAAGCATGACAACCCCACCACCACATCTTAACCACAACAACAAAAATGTTTTAATTAGCCAGGTGTGGTGGTACATGCCTGCAGTTTCAGCTACTTGGGAGGAGCCTGAGGTGGGAGGACTGTCTGAGCCCAAGAGTTCAAGGCTGCAGTGAGCTATGATCATGCCACTGCACTCCAACCTGGGTGACAGGGCAAGACCCTGTCTCGAAAAAAAAGAAAAAGAAATTAAACATAATAGCCAGGATTCTGTCTTAAGCCACTGGGTACACATCGTGGGTAACATTTAATAAGATAAACACTGGAAAAGAACTGGGGTTGGGAAAAGAAAGAGGAGGGAAAGGTGAGCAGGTTCAACCACGTTAAATATTGGATAAACATGAAATATCTAAGAAAAGCTGTCAAGTAGGCAACTGGTTCTTTTCCTCATTTCCCACATTCAATCCATTACCAAATCCTATCAAATCTACCTTTAAAATATAGCCGAAATCTATCCACCTCTCTTCATCTCAGGAATACTGTTACCACCCTAATGCAAGGCATCATTATCTCCCTCCATGTGCTCCATACTGTAGCCAGACAGATCTTTTAAAAATATAAATCAGATCATCAGATTCCCTATTTAAACCCATTAAAGGTTTCCTATTGAATTTCAGAATGAAATCAAACTCCTTATCATAGCCAAAGAAATCCCTGGATGACACATACCCTTCATCTTTATCAATTACTCTCACATTAAGCCTCATCTACACTGGTCAAGTTCTCCCGTTGTTAGGGCCTTTGCACTAAGGAACTGCCCCACTTCCCTTTTACTCCTCCTCTCTCCCAAGACACACAGTCTTGCCTCTTTGCCTTTAGATCTCATCTCAAATATCACCTCGTCACAGAATCTTTCTCTAACCACTTTCTATCACATTACCTTGATTTGTCTTTCTAGGACTTACCAGAATTTGTAAACTTATTTATTCCCTACCATGTAAGTTCTATGAGAAGAGAAATCTTGTTTATCTTTTTCACTGCTACACTTTATGTAAATAGCATAGAGTTGGTTTTCAATAAATGTTTGCTGAATTAAATAAATAAGTGAATAAAATGTATGAAACTAAAGCTCAGCTCAGAAGGAAGATCTTAACTGGAGATATTGATTTGGGCATCTTCCACATGTAAAGACAAATAATGCCAAAGAAAATAGGTATTACCCATGGGAAGTATATAGAGAGAATAAAAGAGGGCCTAAGACAAAGCCCAGAGGAATGTGAACATTCAAAAGATGAGCAGAAGAGGGGCACCCAAATAGGAAGGGCCAGAGAAAAAAAGGAAAATCAGAAAAGTTTCCCAAAGTGCTAGATGGTATACAAGAATATTCCTTTATTACTTATTTATTTTTGGAGGCAGGGTCTCGCTCTATCACCCAGGTTGGAGTATGGTAGTGTCATCACAGGTCACTGTGGCCTCAACCTTTAAGGCTCAAGGGATGCTACTGCCTCAGTCTCCCAAGTAGCTGGGACTACAGGTGTAGTAGTCACCATGCCTAGCTAATTTTTATTTATATTTTTTTGTAGAGATGGGTTCTCACTATATTGCCCAGGCTGGTCTCAAACTCTTGGCCTCAAGCAATCCTCTCACCTCAGCCTCCTAAAATGTTGGGACTATAGGCATAAGCTACTGTACCCAACCTGAGTATTCTTCATTAAAAAGGCAGCTTGGCATTAAGGAAAAGCTTGTGGTCAATCGAGTCAGGTATACATTCAACGAACGTATTGTTTGCCATGTACCAGGAACTATGCCAGGAGTTGGGCTATCAAATTAATCAATAAAATAGGCCAAACACTATCTAATAACTGTTCAAAGAGTGGTATAATCTTCTCTAAGTGTGATTTGGAGAGAAGTCTCAATCTGAATCTTAAGTATCACAAGTGCTGGGAGGATTAAACAAGATCTTGTTTATAAAGTGCTAAATACAATATCTGCAATACGATAGGCCGTCAATAAATTACAGCCACTACTATAAAGAAAATCTTCCTTTGACTGATCAAAAACACAGTATAAAAACACAAGCATACTAGAGCAATTTAGAGTAATCATCCTAGTGGAATAATCTGATTTGAAAATCCGTATCTATTCTGGAGAATACTAAATTCACAAAAGAATGGGATTGTTTATGGGGAAAACTACTTAGAGGTAACATCTCAAGGTCTCTTCCAAGATTCCAGTTTGATTTCAGCAAAGGCACAAAAGCATTTAAATGACTTAAAAGTACATCACCAGACTCACTTCAGTGCAAGGTAATGTGACTCCCAATCCCAGAGAAAGACAACATATTTGCCCACCCCTCAAAATACAAAATCCTTAGGCCTATCTTATTCTAGACCAAGACCTCTTGACTTTTCTAAAACTAGACAGATTAGAAGTACAGTATCACAGCCCAATTAGTTCTCTTTTGTGTGCTTTTATTTTATTAATTATACCCTTTGGTTATGCCCAGAGTCAAGAGGTTTGCCTGTTTTAAAATAAAGAACAAAAGCAATCTGTGCAGAATAAACAGATTCCTCAGAAATATTAAACAAACAAACGAAAAATGCCAGAATATTTCTCACTTAAATTCCACTGGGGAACATGAGGGTGAAATGCCACTGGCCAATGGGAACCCTTATCTTGCATGCCATGCAATCCAACCCCCAACCAAAATGCCTCCTTCCTACAAGCACACACTACTTTCTATTGATTTCCCTCTGCTTCGGTTGTTGCCTAAACTCTAGTGATCAAGGCTCCAGTGATATCTTCCGGCCAAAGGAAAATTATTTTCCTTGCTTCTCTTTTGTTCTTCTCTAACAGACTGCTAGTTCTTTTGTCCAGACCACGTGGGCAGTAGGGCTAAAGACCTTCTGCCAGTCATACATGCTTAGCAAGCAAAACTTAAACAAGACATATTCTTCTAAGCTGAAATGTTCTAAATGCAAAATACAGTATTCACGATTCTAAATATTCATAATCCATTTAGTAGAGTATATTAATAGACAAGGGTCTGCAATAAAAAACAATTTAGGCATACAGCAGTATTTCTTTTCAACACTAAGGTCAAAAGAGCATGAAATTAGAAAAGACAGGAATTCTAGTTATTATTTTATCACTATGCAATTTCACTGGTGCCTTTGTTCCATCACTGATGAAATAAGGGTAATGATACTTTTCCCTTTTCTGCTTTCAGCACAGGTTGAATTTCATAATTCCTATAGTCCAGAATAATTACAAAAAGTGTACTATTTTCTCAAGGCAATGTACTCCCTTTAAAGGAAGAAAGAATGGTGATATGGTCTGGCTGTGTGTCCCCAATCCAATCTCATCTTGAATTGTCATCCAAATTGTAATCCCCACATGTTAGGGGAGGGACCTCATGGAAGGTGATTAGATCATGGTGGGGGGGGGGCAGTCTCCCCATGCTGTTCTCATGATAGTGAGTTCTCACAAAATCTGATGGTTTTATATGAGGCTTTTCCCCCTTTTGCTCAGCACTTCTCCTTCCTGCCATCATGTGAAGAAGGATGTGTTTACTGCCCCTTCTGCCGTGATTGTAAGTTTCCTGAGGCCTCCCAGCCCTGTGGATCTGTGAGTCAATTAAACCTTTTTCCTTTATAAATTATCCAGTCTCGGGCAGTTCTTTATAGTAGCATGAGAACAGACTAATACAGATGGAGTAACCTAACTGCACCCTAACAGGGGTTTTGTTTTGTAGTTTGTTTTTTTTTGTGGATCTTTTTTTCTTCCCAGAACCTCACATCAAACAACCGTATCTTGATTTGGCAATTCATTCAGAATTCCATGAATTACAGCACAACATTCTCTATCATAATACAGTATACAGAGACTTCCTAGCAGCAGCAAATCAGCTAAGAATGGTCATGTGCTTTCAGAAATGAATTGGTAGCAGAAATTAAACACTAAAATGTAACTTCCAAGGAAAGTTAAATTTTCTTCTTAGATTTTACTTCTAGTCAGCATTGCAAAATTAAAATATCTCTTATATTTTAATACTTAATTTTCTACACAGGCTAAAGCCAAGGTAATTTCTTAAGATCATTTTTTCTAATAACAGCCATATAATAAAACAATCCTTGAGTTCTTAACAATCACATTATCTCTTTCTCCAGGTGGCATTCTCATCATCTGTATTTACTATTTCACTAAAAATTCTTTCCAATATGACATCAAATTTTAGAGATGCAAATAAGTATGCGTGATACATTTATGTGGTAGTTAGTCCTTTGATATTATGGGTAAATATCCTCAAAGCAGTAGTTATATAATTAAAAGTTGTTTTAAAAACATACTGAGAGTCTTTATGCTAAAGATTTACCTCTTTGAATTCTTTTCAGACCTTAGCAGATCAAGAGGCCTCAAGAAAAGGAAATATTATGAAGACATATCTTTCCAAGTAAACTGCCCATCACGCCAACATCTACATCCTAAATGAAAATGGAACAATGTGCAGTAAAGCATTACTCTTTTTCAGTATATACACAATAAGGAGGTTTGGTCACTGAATAGTTTCAACAGATCTAAAGACTATTTCTGGCTTCACTACTGCTATACTCTTCAATCTTGAGTTATCAATTACTTCATCTTCCTAGGCAGCAGTACAAGAGACAGATAACACCACTTTGTCACTTTAATCCTTAGCTGCCATGCCAGCAGAGTTTATTCAATCATATTTCTGATATTGAAAAAGCTTTCATTTGACTTTACTGCCTCATCCCATTACAAGCCATTCTGATCCCCTTTTTTCACTGTTAAACTTCTCAAAGAAGCTGCCCATACTAACTCCATTTCCCCATCTTTTTACCTTATCACCCTGTCATCTAACGTCCATCCTACTAAACTAAAATTATATTTCTCAAATTTTACTACTTTACCAACATAATGAGAAAAGCAGTAAACTGAAGGGGTCTGCAGGAAATTTAGGTTCAAGCCCTCAATTTGATAATTACAAGATTTGTATATTTAAGCATACCATTTCACATCTTTGCACATCACTTTCCTTATTTGTAAAGTGAACAGGTTAGATGATGATCTCCAGGGTCTCTTCCTCTACTGAACCTATAGTTGTATAACCAAATTCATCTTCATCTCTAATTTCTCTTTGGCATTTGACACTAAGCACCACCTCCACCCCTCCACCCCTCTATTTTTCCACTATTTCCACCCATCCGTTTTTCCACTATTACCTCTAAGTTAATATCACCATTACCTAACTCTAAATTCTCTACTTCCAAATACAAAATCTTTTTACTTAGCCATTCTACCTTCATCAAAAAACATAATATACCCAAACTTGAATTTACACCCAATCCAACAAATCACTCCTCAGCTTGCCCCAAATCTCCTATTTCCTTAGATTCCTCAATACCCAGAGTCTTGGCTTAAAATGAAAACCCTGAGTCTTCCTTCATGTCCTTCCTACATCTTATTTTCATTAAATTCTATTAATCCTTCCTTCTAAATAACTAGTATCTTCCTCTTTTAAATTTCATCATTCATGGATCATTTACTCTAAAAGCCTACTACCTGTTCTCTCAAACCTAATCCCTTCACTTTCCATAACATTCAGTATTCTCTTGCATTGTCCAGTATGATAGCCACTAACTACAGGTTGCTAGTTAAATTAAAATAAAAATTAAGCAAAATTAAAAATTTAGTTCCTCTACCACATAAGCTGCATTTCAAGTCACATGAGGCTAGTGACTATAACACTGGCCATCACAGATACAGATACAGTTTCATCCTCACAGAAAGTTCTATTGGATGGCTCTGTAATCTTAGGCAAAACCTCTTACCACACTATTTACACCATGGGTTTTCTTCTATTAAAGAACACGGGCTGGTTTTCTAACACTTATCTAAACCAGTCTAAAATCTTTCTCCTGGCATCCAAACTCTCCAGATTTGGCCCCATCAAACACCTCCATTCATTTTCTTTGCCGACAAATACTCTGTTGGTCAAGTTGTTTTCACTGATCATGTAGGGTACTATGCTTTCATTACCACATTAATTCACTCAATAAATGAACTATGTGGAGACATTTCTAGGTTCTAGGAATACTGCAGAGAATAAAGCAAATAGTACTGGACATTCTTTTTTTCCTCTTCTAGCACTGGCTCTCTGCCTATCTACCTTTCAAACCTCATCTCCTTCAAGCTTTCTTAGGTTACCTTCCCCCTCTTTCAGCTCTCAGAACGGTTGTATATAGCCTACATTTAGACACAATTAAATACAACTTAGTTTTATCTTCTTTCATGCTTTGTCTTCCCAACTAGAATTTAAGCTACTTAAGGAAGCTAGCAAAGAACAGCAAGGGGGCCAGTGTGGCTAGAATAAAATGAGTAAAGAGAAAATAGAATATGATGTCAAAGAGTTAATGGAGAGCAGACTATGTGGGGCCCTAAATACCATGTAAGAGTGAGTGAGAAAGGAAGGCACTGGAGGGTTTTGATCACGGGAATAACGTCATTTGGATTAAGTTTTATTAGTATCACTTTGGCTAATAAAATGTGTTAAGCAAGAACGGATGCTGGGAGACTAGCTAGGAGGTTAATACAATAAAACAGAAGAAAAAAGATGGTAGCAGAGATGAGTAGTTAATACCCAAATTTTAGGTATATTTAAAAAGTGGAGCCAAGATAATTTGCTGATATACTGGGAATAAGAAAGAGGCATCGCAGATAACTCAAAGATCTCGGAGTTGAAGGATCAAGGTGCCATTAACTGAGATGGGGAAGACCAAGAGAACCAGGGAGGAGAAATGATACCAAAAGCTTAGTTTTGGATACTTTGAGTTTGAAATGTCTGTCAGACATTCTAACTGAGATGTCAAACAGGCAGCTGAGTTCTGTAGGTCCAGAGTACAAGGGAATGATCACGGCTGGAAATATACATTTGAGAATTTTCACATATAGGTGGTATTTAACACCAACAGACTGGATAAAATCACCAAGAAAGCCGTAAATTGAACTGAGCCTAGGCCACAGCAATATTAATTCAAAGGACAGGATGATAATGAGGAACCAGGAAAGGAGACTGAGATTGAGTGACTAGTGATAGTGAGGTGTATAGTATCCTGGAAGGCAAGTGAATAAAGTGTTTCACTGAGGAGGGAAAGATCAAGATGTAAAAGGTTGCTGAAAACTAAGATGAGAACTAAGAATTGAAAACTGGATTCTGAAATACTGAACACCTTGGCAAAAGTATATTTGGGAGAGTAGTATGGGTGAAATGACCAACAACAGAACCAAAGTGATATTAATATATATTTTACGGTCTTCAAAGCTATAGAATTAGAATGGTACTAACGGATAGAACAATCTTTCTCAATGCTTACTCCTTTTTTGACTCTTACAGGGAACTACTTTTACTGGAGTAGAAGGGGTTGGAGGAAAGAGAGAGGGGCATCTCCTGGGAATGTGTGCCATCATCTTTTCTATGACTTTTCAGGTGGTTGCTGAGTACCATTTGATTACCGTATGAACTGCGGTGTGTTATTTCCTTTTTTGTTTTATTTGGAGATAGACACAGAAAATATTTGGAAGCTAATAGAATCTTCCATTTATCAGCAAAAGTACTATTTCTGACAACTTTAATGGCAGAAGATGAAATATTGTTTAAACACTCAGCGAATTTAGAAACCAGAATGGAGACTTTCATATAGACTGCATCCCTTAAGAAAAGCTATTTTACAGTAGCCTTTTGACTTAATTTGAGTAACAGGCAACGTGATTCCTGAAGTCACAAAATATAAATTCAAAACTTTACAAAGCCAAACAGATATATGTTTTTATTGTTACTATAACAGTTAGTTGGGTTAGGTATGTCAGACCCAGGGACAGCTCAAGTATTGTGTCACTACTCTCTTCAGATGAATGACATATGATTCCTTTTACTCTCTTTAGCTAGATTCAGAAAGGTATCAGATCCTTATTAGTCTCTATATATCTAAATATCTAAATGTACTTGCTCATTGAATAGAAACGGGAAATCTCATTAGGGTATTTCTAAATACTGATGTTTATGCAGGAGTCTAAATGATAAAAATCCATAGAGATACAATTTCCTAAATCTCAAGGTCAAGGAAACATGTAGTTAGAACACAGAAAACTTTCCAATAGTCAGTACAGCTCTAGCATTTATTTTATGATCATTTTTTTTCCCACATGATATACCCCTTATTAAATGTGGTAGATTATCACCTCCTGACAAAGACTTTCATCAATAAAGTAGGGAGATCTATTTTCCAACAAGCACCAAAATAGAAAAAAAAAAGGACTGAAAGTTGCCTTCAGGGCCTGTTTTAAGTATTTGATAGTTGCAAAATGTGGTCTGGAATATTACTTTATACTTAGGAATTTTAAATACCATTCCAAGCATATTCACATCCATTGTTTCATTTGCTTCTATGAGGTAGGAGGGTAAATAATCATTATGCCATTGTAAAATTCAGGAACTGAAGCACAGAGAAATTAAATGGTCTGTCTAAAATTAGAATAGAAGAACTCCTCTACCTTGAAATCTTTTCGTCACACCAAAAAGATGAAGTTAGAAATGTGGATACCTATTATTCAAGAAGTAGGCTGATAATTTATTGCCATTTCTGATATTCAGACTTGTCTGATAGCTCGGAAAGAATATTGGCAGAGACTACAATATTTGCATATCTTTCTGAAGATTCAACAAATATTTGGTATCTTCAATGTGTCAAGCCTTATCAAACATGGTATCACTCTGCAGTAGAATGAAAACTGGATTAGACGTAGCCTGGGGTGAAGACGGCAGTGGTAGTATGGGAAGGGATGGGAAAAAGAAGACAAGAAGACAAGCAAAGTTTTGATTATTCCTTATACTCAAATTCATTCATGAAACTTTTTTTTTTAGCAGCTACCAAGTACCAGACATTATTCTATGTTCCTGGATATAGAAGTGAATTAAAACAGAAAAAAGTCCTTGTCATAAGGTTTATATCGGGGTAAGTTACAGGCAAAAAAAAAGTAATAGGCTGGGCATGGTGGCTCGCGCCTGTAATCCCAGCACTTTGGGAGGCCAAGGCGGGCGGATCACGAGGTCAGGAAATCGAGACCACAGTGAAACCCCGTCTCTACTAAAAATACAAAAAATTAGCCCGGTGCAGTGGCGGGCGCCTGTAGTTCCAGCTACTTGGGAGGCTGTGGCAGGAGAATGGCTTGAACCTGGGAGACGGAGCTTGCAGTGAGCCAAGATCGCGCCACTGCACTCCAGCCTGGGTGACAGAGCGAGACTCCGTCTCAAAAAAAAAAAAATTATAAAAATATATAGTATGTAAGATAATGATAAATACATGGTGGGGGGTGGGGAGAAGAGTGTGTGGAGGGAGTGGTTTCGCTATTTCATAATAAAAAAGGACAGTCAGCTAGACACGGTGGTTCGCACTTGTAATCCCAGCACTTTGGGAGGATGAGGTAGGAACTTGAGGCCATGAGTTTGAGACCATCCTGGGCAACATAGTGAGATCCTATCTCTACAGAAAATTTCAAAATTAGCCAGGCATGGTGGTGCATGCCTGTAGTCCCAGCTACTTGAGAGGCTGAGGGAGATCACCTGAACCTTTAGTAATCCCCTTCAGCCCAGGAGTTTGAGGCTGCAGTAAGCTCTGATCACACCACTGCACTCCAGCCTGGGTGACAGAGCGAGACCCTCATCTCTTTTAAAAAAAACAAAACAGTCAGTGTAAGCCTCCAGAAAAGGTGACATTTCAGCTGAGACCTCAAGAAAGTGGGAAAGTAATCCAATACAAATATTTGGAGGAAAAGTTTTCCAGGTAGAGGAGAGAACAAGTTGATAACTGTATTTAGATAACACCCAACCATTGGGGCTTCAAGATGAACAAGGATGTTCATGCAAAGGACGTGCAGCAGAGCTGTGGTATGTCTGAAATACAGCAAGAAATTGGATGTAGCTAGAGTAGTGTCAGTGAAAAACAGTAATAAACAAAGTGAATGTTCATCTTTATACCTAACTCATGACCCCCAATTACCATGTTCCAAGTTTTCTCCAAGTTAGAATATACATAGAATTTACATTGTATGCTTTAAAATTTCTTGAAGTCCCAAAGGTTGGGTGTTATCTAAATACAGTGATCAATAGCATTTCATAAGGCTCAAACTCAAGTAATCATTCACCACTAGATACTGAATAGACTGGGTCAGATTCCAATGGTGCCCAAAGAGAATGTGTTAATTGAGATCAGCCTTTATGTCTAGTTTCCTAAGTCTCAATATACATACACACACACACACACACACACACAAACACACACACACACATACACACACACAGAAGGAGTAGTTACACTCAGGTGTTGTTTATACCATGTAGATCTATGATCTTCAAATAATTAGAAGACAGTGAAAGAATGTCAGACAAGTTTATTAAGGCTTTCCAGCTACAGTTCCATATATTAATTGATAATATTAGGCAACTTACATATATTACTTAGAAGAGAGTTTCCTAGATTTACCCCTCTATTCCCTCCACAGAAGTTAAGACATTTAGTTTAGCAACCCCATTACCTTAAATATCCCAGAGAAAATGTAAATTTACTCTTAGAAGATTAGATTTTGAAAGGACGTTCATGTTAGAACTTACCCTCACCCCCTTTTTTTTTTTTTTTTTTTAAGACAGAGTCTTGCTTTGTCACCCAGGATGGAGTATAGTGGCGCGATGTTGGCTCACTGCAATCTTCGCCTTCTAGGTTCAAGTGATTCTCGTGCCACAACCACCTGAACAGCTGGGATTACATTACAGGTGTGTGCCACCATGCCTGGCTAATTTTTGTATTTTTAGTAGAGATGGGGTTTTGCCACGTTGGCCAGGCTGGTCTCGAATTCCTGGCCTCAAGTGATTCACCTGCCTCGGCCTCCCAAAGTGCTGGGATTACAAGTGTGAGCTGCCGTACCCAGCCATGTCAGAACTCCTTAAAAGGAACAGATACTAAACATGGCATGCCTTTCCCTCTCAACAAAATATTATCTAGTGATGTTGCTCCCTTCCTGCAATATTTTCCTCCTGTCCTTCATCTATTATCAGTGATTTGCATACGAAGGAATTCCTCCAGGAGTATGCACCAGACTGGTGAGGGGCTTTTCAAAACCCCTACCAAATGATCTCTACTTTGAGCCTAAGTCATATTCTTGAGATATGCTGGGGGTGACAGGGGAAGGAGTCTTGGGAACCACTGATCCAAATCCTCTAGGTCCAGCTAAAATCCTATTTCCTCTGTGGGACTTTTCAAGTCTACCTCAGGTTCAAAGGAAGAGCTCCTTCCCTCTTCTAAATATATATTTATTCACCATTAATTTCACAAAAATTAAAAGCTCACGTTAGCATTTTAACTGTCTTATCTCCCCAGTTATGATGAACTTTCCCATAAGAGTCATAGCAGCATGCTTTGTCTAAGAAAAGGTACTCGAGTTCCAATATATCATAAAATGAAGAGAAATCTGTTTTGTATGAGGTAAATTTCCATTTCAAGGAATGTCTGTTTTCACAAAATTTTGTATTTTCTCCTAATAGTATGAGGTAGAAGAAATCTACATCTTCTCAAGTGAGCTTATGATTAACTCGATGAGTTTTCTTGCTATTCTCAAATCGGAATTATCCAGACCTGGCTAGAAACTAAAGTCTAAGCCCATTCATTAAAGTCTTGAATTTATTTACTTTTGCCAAGAACAGCTATATAAAATTAGATTCCTCCTGGTATAAAATTGGGTGTTTTCTTAGATATTTGCTATCAAAAGTCATTTTTCTTGGAAATATACTCTGGCAGCACATAAGAAATCACCATATGTTTTATATCACAAAGGGATATTAGATAATTCTTTTCACATAAGGAGAAACCTTCAGAGAGGTGAAATGACTTACCAAAGTCACATAGCCATGATTTACTTAATTTCAATGACAAAAACCTTTGGAATAAATTTTATTAAGTGAAAAGGAAAGCTATGAAATTTTTTTTATTATACATGCTACCTTTGGGTTTAAGATGGATTCTTCTCACACTAAATTTCCAGTAAATAAGGGAAACGTGATCTGTTTCTTACAACCTATATGATGGAACAGACTGAAATTTAAGAGAGATTTCCTGTGCTACCACAAGGGAAGTTGCATGTCCATTGTTTTCTTCTTATTAAACATATTTTTCAGTAGGATTTTGTTACAATTCCTTGTATATAATGAATGCAGAGGTTAAGCCCTAACCTCAGGGTGTCCAAGAGAACAAATTCTTCTTTTCATAGTCTAATGTAAGCCAAAATGATAAAAAAAAGAATATTTCACATTATTATTACAAGCAATTTGGCATAATGAGTAAAATGTGTTCCTGCCTTTATCAATGATTCCCAAAATATGCTTTCAGAATAGTATGCTTAATTTATCCAAAAAGAGATGCATTTAAACAAGTTTTTAAAGTGTTAATGATTCTATACTACAAACTTATGTGTTACTTACAAAGTTTATCTTCAACCTGTGATTAACACAGATGGTTGGGAGAAAGTTCCAACCCAGGAGATTATTTTTCAGCTACTAAACTTTAAGAAAACTATTGGCAATGGTTTTCATTGAAGAATAACAAGTCTAAAATTTACTTTCACATTATGAACTTGTAACACATTTGAACTAGGGCTACTATTTAAGGAAGTGAATGTACCTGGTAAAGAGTTTTAAAAAGCAAGTCTCCCTCCTATCCACCTATGTCTCCAACTCCTCCTCACAAAGGCAGTCACTGTTACCTATATATACACAAAAGGAAGGGGAAGAGTATATGTGCATATATTCTAAAGTAATTTTAAAGAACAGTCACATCTCTTTTTAAAATAATACTCAAATCAAACCAACAGATAGCTGTGTACTTAAAAAATAAAAAACTAGCACACTTCCAAGGACATGCTATCTTCTCTGGGTAGCATATTTTGCTCTCTCAGGTCTACATGGTCAACAATTTATTACTGTTGTTATTTTTTAAATTTAAATGGCATCAATATCATGAAAGCATTTCAGAATTATACATATTTCTAAATTAGTTTCTCTATTTTTAGCCTATTATTTCCTATAGGGAGGTCATTCTCTATTCCTTATCCATTCCCACTACATCAACAATACATGACATTGATCTTACTGGGGTCTTATTTTTTATTTTTTATTTTTTTAGACAGAGTGTTGCTCTGTCGCCCAGAGTGGAGTGCAGTGGCAGGATGTCTGCTCACTGCAAGCTCTGCCTCCCGGGTTGACGCCATTCTCCTGCCTCAGCCTCCCCAGTAGCTGGGACTACAGGCGCCCGCCACCACGCCCGGCTAATTTTTTTTTTTTGTATTTTTAGTAGAGACGGGGTTTCACCGTGTTAGCCAGGATGGTCTCGATCTCCTGACCTCGTGATCCGCCCGTCTTGGCCTTCCAAAGTGCTGGGATTACAGGCGTGAGCCACCACACCTGGCCTTACTGGGGTCTTATTTCATGTAACAGAAGAACATCATCAATCTTCCTATTCTGGTTTTGTAAAATACCAAAATGTTTGATCTCCTATAATGTTGGATATTTGAGTATTCAAGTTCTAGAAAGCAGATAGACATATGCATAGTAGCAATTAGAATGTTACCTGATTTAAGCCTCCTAGAAGTGGGTTAATGATTAACAAGAAGATATTACATTTAACTGTTAGTAAAATAGAAATGCAAAACATTACATTTCCAAGTATGAAGTTTGTCAATGTCTAGAGTAACTTAGAGAAAATTAATTACATAAAAGCATAAGAAGGAAAGGTATGTCCTTCCATTATTTGAAAACGTGCATCCAGTACTGACTCTACCTATGCATTCAGGACTGTTAATTACATATAATATTATACTACTTCACTGTACCCACCTAGTGCTTATCATTAAGAGGGTTCAACATGCCTTTTAAAAACTGTAGTAAAATATACATAAAATTTACCATTTTAGTCATCAAAATACTTTTAAACAACCCTAATTAACCTACTCAAGATGGAAATAAGAGATCTCTATTTACTTTTAAAAAGATATCACAGAAAGATTAAGTCAGTCATGTATCATAGGCCATAAACCCAAAAGAAATCAGGTAGAAATTCAAAGGAAACTACTTCTGAAAAAAACAACAGGTTTTATTAAAAATTCAAATTCTGACCAACATTTCTCCACTTCTTTTTTTTTGAGACGGAGTCTCGCTCTGTCGCCCAGGCTAGAGTGCAGTGGCGCGATCTCGGCTCACTGCAAGCTCCGCCTCCTGGGTTCACGCCATTCTCCTGCCTCAGCCTCCCAAGTAGCTTGGACTACAGGCGCCTGCAACCATGCCCGGCTAATTTTTTGTATTTTTAGTAGAGACGGGGTTTCACCGTGTTAGCCAGGATGGTCTCGATCTCCTGACCTCATGATCTACCCACCTCGGCCTCCCAAAGTGCTGGGATTACAGGCGTGAGCCACCGTGCCCGGCTCTCCACTTCTTAATTTTCTTTTATTGATAACAAACTGATACCAAGTGACAGGACACTATGAGATGTGGAAATGGCAAGGGTAGCATTTTTAGACTAAAATATTTCCAACTGCTTTATAAGTCTGGATTAAATAATTTCAATAAAATCAACAGAACTAGGAAAAGATGCCACAAACTTATTTCTCAGCCATTAATCTCTTCACAGGCCAACCCAAGACATATTGGTAGGATTTTTACCTTCATGTTTTTTCACCATATGAAAAATGTAAAGACAGCAAAAGAAAGCTCTCAAATAGAACAGGAAGAAAATAAGGTATGATTGAAAAAGAATCATCACTGATTTACTGTTATTTCAATGATTTTTAATATAGAAAGTGGCTGCTGTGAGGCTACCTCTACCCTAAAGTAAGTCTCACATGAAAACGTGAAAATAAATGTGAACTCCAAACTGAGCTAACTATTCAAAGATCCATATCTGGAAAATTAAAGTTTGAGTTACTATCTTAGAACAATCTGTATGGCATTTATCTTTCATGTTAGAATGGTCAGAAAATAAATGTTCATATTTGTTTACGTATGTACAAACAGTGGGATAAATAAGAAACTGGTTACCTACAGAGATAGGGGTATGAACTACACGAAATGACACAGCCAGAAGCTGAGATTTCAGTTATGTAATTTAAAATTTTGAACTGTGAAAATAATTACCATTCAAAAGTAAAATAAAAGGGTATAATATTTTACTGAGATAATATTTACAATTTTTCTCAAAGTTCCCCTACCCTTTATCATACTTTAGAAAAAACTGATTTTCTGCTACCCATAAAAGATTTTGGGAAATAGTTTCCTCTGATCAGAGTGCAGGCCAGAGTAATTTAAGAAGGACTTTCTAAAGAATGTCTAACTCACTGTATTTCATCCTTAAACATTATTATAGAAACTCAAGAGTAAATTTTTCTCCTTAATAGAAGTTCTTTAAAAGACAGTGCAATTTAAAGTTTCACAACTGCATGTAGGTAAGTTTCAACTTACATCTAATTATTCCATGTTTAATATGGCTTTATTAAATCAATGATCTTATTCAAATCAATACCTCTCTGGCCAACGAAAACAAATTTAATTATGGGAAATATTTTATCAAGTTTGACTGCTAAGTTCAAACTCTATTGGACACATACTTCAGCTCTATAGGAAAGGGCTGCTCTAAGGAAGTTACCCAAGTTACACAAGTTTATTTATTGTTTTCTATCGTAGATAAACATAGAAAAACATCAGAGATCATGATAGAGAGAATGATTGACACTCCATAATTTTTTTTTTTTTTTTTTTTTTTGAGACGGAGTCTCCCTCTGTCGCCCAGGCTGGAGTGCAGTGGTGCAATCTTGGCTCACTGCAAGCTCCGCCTCCCAGGTTCATGCCATTCTCCTGCCTCAGCCTCCTGAGTAGGTGGGACTACAGGCACCCGCCACCACGTCCGGCTAATTTTTTGTATTTTTAGTAGAGATGGGGTTTCACCATGTTAGCCAGGATGGTCTCGATCTCCTGACTTCGTGATCTACCCACCTTGGCCTCCCAAAGTGCTGGGATTACAGATATGAGTCACCGCACCCGGCCAGACACACCAGAAATTTAGGGAGGCAGTTGGTATGGGGAAACAGAATGGGTTTGCTTGTTAGACCTACGTTTGACTCGGCTTCCTATTGATCTTGTCCAAATGACTTAACTTCTCTGAAACTCAGTTTCTTTTAATGATAAAAAACAAGCTGATACTATCTAACTCAAGAATTAAATGAAATATCCACATTGACAGGTTCTAGACTATTTTGGATGGCTCACGCAGGAGACATGGGGCAGGAAGAAAAAGGTTTCCTTAATAAGTATTTTTGAAGTCACATGTAAGATAACTATAAAGGAAGAAAATGATCTAAAATGGCAAGGAAAATTGAGAACTTTTCTGTGAATCACATAACTGAGATCCAGTCAAAGAGAACAGGTGAGCATCTTTCTTAAAATGGAATGTTTTTTACTTCACCTAAATCTTAATTTACTTCCTTTTTTAACTCAGATGTGAACATCTACCAGCCTACAACAATCACTTGAATATTTTAAGGAAAATATCCAGTGTAAGTAAGCATGACTATCAACCTTAACATAAAAAGCATCTAAAGTGGGTATTAGGCTTAAAATTACTGCAAACGTTTATATCTTCTTTCAGAAAATTTCCAAGAGAAATTAAAGAAATTTAAAGATGGTCACATCAGTACTTTCTTTTTGTTAAAACAGGAAATTGTTTTTAAAACTCAGATCTTAAGACAACTCTACTCCTGTGGAAAATTACTTATTAGCAAAAATGCTTGTTACTGAAGTCGGAAACATCTGAAATTGCTGTTCAACTGTATATATATATATACATATATATATATACACATATATATATCTATGAAAAAACGATTTCATTTTGAGTGTTCAATATGTGCCAGAAATACCATAAACTGGGGTATGGCAGGTCCCTGGCTCTCAGGTAACCTATGGATTTAGCTGAAAAGACAAATAGAGGCACGATGCATTTGCTGATATATTTTTTTTTAAGACGGAGTCTCGCTCTGTCACCCAGGCTGGAGTGCAGTGGCATGATCTCAGCTCACTGCAGCCTCTGCCTCCTGGGTTCAAGCGATTCTCCTGCGTCGTCAGCCTCCCAAGTAGCTGGGACCACAGGCACGCACCACCATGCCCGGTTTATTTTTATATTTTTAGTAGAGATGAGGTTTCACTATGTTGGCCACGCTGATCCATTTGCTGAGTTTGTTTTTTAAACTCACTAACATAACTATTCGGTTTCTCCTTCATATTTAAGTGCCTTACAGACTGAAATAATTAAAAATATTTTTTCAGTTCATTACTCTGATAGAACAGTAAATCTGATAGACAACAAATTTCCTTAGCTTTGGTCTAGATCATCCATTATAGGATCCATAAATCACATTCAAATGAGCAATAAGGGTACCAGGAAAAGGAATGAAAAAAGGCTACATCTTTGAGTGTTTTTATGTAATGTACCTAAAGAGAGGATGCATCCCATTCCTTCAAAAGTGTACTTTTTGTAAATCAGTCATATACATAGTATAGAGTGAAGAGGGTAAAGTTTAAAAAATAATTGGGAGAGAAGTACTGGCAGCAAAATACCCATAATATAGTTACCTTCTAATTAGAAAATTATCACCTGGCTCTCAACTATCAGACACTCTTGTGCAGGAACGTCACTGCCCTGATATCTACCCATCTGCTTTTTAAATGTACTATATATATGAAAATACAAGCACTGGAGGACATTGAAAGAGCAACAAAAATGATTCTTTTTATTGTGTAAGAGAAATGTGGAGGCCTTCAAACACACACACACACACACACACACCATGGAGCAGGGGGGAAGGGAGCAAGTTAAATATATTTTAATACTCCTAAAAATCCCGTTAGGCTTAGAAGTCCCAAGAAAAACTATGCATATGTGACACAGGGATGGAAGCAAGCACTTTGCTCATTTCTGCATCAGTGCACACACTCTACACTGGGGTCACCTGTGAGGGAACTAAAGGTTTTCCCTTAAGATCACAATACATTTCAGGATCTAACAATTCTGATTAACAGCCAAGGCAGTGAAGAATGCCTACAGACTTACTATTTGTTTAAGCTTCTGTATTCAGGGAATGAACTGTGACACAACTGAGCCACCAACTGCTACATTTTTTAAATGGAGCTTTTAAAGAACACAATGGGTTTTGAAATAAAGCTCAACTCTTACCACACCTCTTTCCATATTAGTTTCTGCACTAAATGACTGGGTCAAGGAGGGCTGGCTACAGGCAGAGTGGATTTCATAAATCACCATCCCCTCTTAAATGCGTGCTTCACCTTTTTACTATTTTAAGTATGATTTTCTCAGGTTAAAAAAACTTTTCCCCAAAAGCTGCACACATGGAACCTGCTTTTCATCAGAACTCTGTAAAAACTGCTTTGTGAGCCTCTCTGTAACTGCTTTTCATATACTTCATTAAGTATTCAAGTTTCTCAACACAACCACTCATTTTAACATTTTAATGCCAGTCTTGCTCATTAAACTATTTTGTGGTAGTTTTTCTCAGTTTAATAGTGAAATGTATGAAAGCACTGATTCCACAGAGAAGAAGGCTTTCTCCTCTTGGTCCACAAGCTGACAGATTAATTGCTTATTAAATATACACTTTCAACCCACAATTATCTCTTTCACACACACCCTTCTGGAAATTCTATCTCAGGAGCAAACTACAACTTTGCCCAAATTCAGATGACAGCTGCAGTTTTAGGGGAACACAATCTGGGGCTGCCAGTGCAGTCAGCCTTCAAGCTTTGTGCCTGTCAGATAAAAGAACAAAAGGCAGTGCTTCCTCCCTCAGCCCCTCCTTAGCGCTGGAGGACGGCAGGCTTGACAGAACAGTTCCAGAGAAAAAGGAACCATGCTGAAGCAAGTGAGAGTTTCCCCTCCACAAACATAGAAAACTACCAACCCACCTTGGATAGCTGCCTCCTGAGGCTAAAGCGCTGAACCATGATCACCCAGAGGATCTTCAGACAAAGCAATCCACGAAGGGTTTTTTAAATAACAGCTTCTTGGGAAAGTCGGTGGCAGAACATTTTGAAGACTGCCAGAGAAGTGCAAAGAATTTCCCTGGGAGTCTTAGCAAACTTGGAAAGCCTTCATTGTTCTATCAAGAGATACTGGAAAACCTACGTGGGAGAGGGCAGGGTGGGTGGGGCAGTAATCCTGAAGCCGCTGTGCCCAGTGCCAAGCTCTTCTAGCACTTCCTGTGAGTCAGCTGTGAGGGGTCCAAACACAAGGACCACCCCTTCCCTTTCCACCAGACCAGTAGGCGAGGATGCCGCTGTGGTGCTACCTGAAACTCCAGAGGACAGACCTGATGTTCCGGTCTCTGTGGGAGGAGGAGTGGTGTGCTGGGGTCAGACAGCATCTGCTCCAAGTAGGAGACAGGCAACTGCACCAATTCCTCCCCTCTTCAGCCGTCCCAGCAGCAGAGAGTGTCCACTGCAGACAGCAACGCACCCTTCTCTACCTCCACCTTAGGTAATCCTTTAAGGTGAGGCAGTGTGAAAAAAAAGGAGGTGGTGAAAAGCAAGCCCCTGGCTGTACCAGCTCCCTGCTCAAGAAGGAAACTCCTCCCAGCTGGGCTCGGCAGCTGTGCGGCTTTGTCTAGCATAATTGGCCAAGCCTTTCCTCTTATTCACAGGGAGGGGTCCTGCCTCAGGAAGGAATGTCAGGTGCAGAGAGGCATACTCCGACGGTGACTTCAACTTGTGCCAAAGTTAAACACATTAAAGTGGCCTCCTGAGGTAATTGCCCTCTCTTGTTGGAATGAAGTAATTTTTTAAAATCTACACACAAAACAAAAGGAACAGCTCAGAGTGAATCAATGCAGGTAAAGAGGTATGAAAAATAACTGTAAGAGCAGTTCCAAAGATAAAAATATTCCTATCTTTGCCACTCTTCCTCTGTTTGGGTCTGCTTCCAGACAACCACTGTGAGGATAACGTTTCATTTAATGAAACTTTCCAGTCTATGTGCTCCTCTTGGAATTGTTCATTACTTCTGAATGAATTTAGTACTGTTTAGGGCAGAACTCATTCGTATATTTTTTTTCCCTGTTCCAGTGTCTCTCAATTTCCTGTGAGCAAAGTTATGTCATATGCTACATTTAAAGCCTTTGTTGGAATGAACCTACTATGTGCAGTCACTATGTTAGGCAGTTCACATTTATTATCCTATTGATTTATCAAAACAACCTTATAAAATTTGTATTACAATAGTCCTCCCTTACCTACAGTTTGTTCCCACAGTCAACTGCAATCCAAAAATATTTAAATGGAAAATTCCAGAAACAAACCATTCAGAAGTTGTAAACTGCATGCCGTTCTGAGTAGCATGATAAAACCTCATGCCATCCTACCTGGGATGTGAATCATCCCTTTGTCCAGCCTATCCAGCCCTGGCTCCCACCCGCTAGTCACTGAGTAAGCGATTTGGTCATCAGATCGACTGTTGCAGTATGGTAATGTTGTATTCAAATAACCCTTATTTTACTTAATAATGGTCACAAAGCACAAGAGGAGTGGTGCTGGCCTACTGTTATAATTGTTCTATTTTATTGTTACTGTTAACATCTTACTATGCCTAATTTCTGAATTAAACTTTATCACAGATATGTGTATAGGAAAAAACACAGTACAGTCGTAACCCACATGACATTTCAGTTAACAACTAGCCACATATATGACAGTGGTCCCATAAGATTATAATACTGTATTTTTATTGTACCTTTTCTATGTTTAGCTATGTTTAGATACACTAATACATACCACTGTATTAAAACTGCCTACAGTATTTAGTACAGTAACATGCTATATAGGTTTGTAGCCTAGGAGCAACAGGCTATACCATATAGCCGAGGTGTGTAGTAGGTTATGCTATCTAGGTTTATGTAAGGACACTCTACGATGTTCTCACAATGATGAAATCACCTAACAATGCATTTCTCAGAAGTTATCCCAGTGTTAAATGACACGTGACTGTATATATAGGGTTCAGTACTATCTTCAGTTTCAGGCATCCACTGGGGGTCATGGAACATATCTCCTGTGGATAAGGGAAGACTACTGTAGTATCCCAACTCTTCAAATAAGTAGTAATTTCTCGCTCTAAAACCTCAATATGGCCAGGTTCAGTGGCTCATACCTGTAATCCCAATGCTTTGGGAGGCTAAGACAGGAGGATCACTTGACACCAGGAGTTCAAGACCAGCCTAGGCAACAAAGCTAGACCCTGTCTCTACAAAAAATAAGAATAAGAAAATTAGCTAGGTTTGGTAGCATGTGCTACCTAACTACTACTCAGGAGTCCTAACTACTTGGGAGACTGAGGTGGCAGGATTGCCTGAGTTCAGGAATTTGACGCTGCAGTGAGGCATGATGCTCCAGTCTGCGCAACAGAGTGAGACCTTATCTCTAAAAATAAAAACTAAATAAAACATCAATATTATTGTGAGAAAATCATGTAGTGTTTGTAACTTTTTTCTTCAGGTAAGAAACACAAAAAAATGAATTTGAAAAGACAGGTTTCTATGCAATGATTATTCTCAACTATGCTCGTATCATATACTACCAGTATCCAATTATCACCAAATAGGATCTAAAATTTTACCTAAAAAATAACACACATAGGCCAGGCGCGGTGGCTCACGCCTGTAATCCCAGCACTTTGGGAGGCTGAGGCAGGTGGATCACGAGGTCAGGAGATCGAGACCATCCTGGCTAACACGGTGTAAACCCCATCTCTACTAAAAATACAAAAAATTAGCTGGGTGTGCTGGCAGGCACCTGTAGTCCCAGCTACTCAGGAGGCTGAGGCAGGAGAATGGCATGAATCCGGGAAGCGGAGCTTGCAGTGAGCCGAGATCACGCCACTGCACTCCAGCCTGGGCGACAGAGCGACACTCCATCTCAAACAAAAAAAAAAAACACGTATTTCATAATATCTCGGGAAGAGCAGAGAAGATGCATCAAATTCAAACAAATAATAGGCTGCCAAGTCTCCAAAAAAAAATTACCTAACCAAAATGTATATATAAAACGTTTAGGCTGGGCATGTGTGCTTATGCCTGTGATCCCTGCACTTTGGGAGGCCAAGGCAGGCAGATTGCTTGAGCTCAGAAATTCGAGAGTAGCCTGGGCAACACGGTGAAACACCATCTCTACAAAAAACACACAAAAAATTAGCTGGGCATGGTGGCATGAGTAGGTGGTCCCAGCTACTCAGGAGGCTGGAGTGGGAGGATCACTCGAGTATGGGAGGTGGGAGCTGCAGTGAGCCAAGATCATGCCACTGCACTCCAGCCTGGGCGACAGAGAGACCCTGTCTCAAAACAAAACAAACAAACAAATCTTTTACTCTTAAAAACTTTAAGCAGAAAGAAGGTTGAACATATCTAAGTGTATTTTTTGTAAACTTCCAAAGCTAAAAAGCTTTTAGATGAACACCTATAACCAAAAGTAAAGACTCCTTCATACCAAGGTTCAGAGAACACAATATAACCTAACATTTAAGCTGTTTAAAATTTAATTCCAAGTGGAAAGTAGGTTGACAGAGCACCCGAGTTGTGTGCCTTTTTTTTTTTTTTCTTTTTTTTTTTGAGACGAAGTCTCGCTCTTGTCCCCCAGGCTGGAGTGCAATGGCATGGTCTCAGCTCATTGCAACCTCTGCCTCCCAGGTTCAAGCAATTCTCCTGCCTCAGCCTCCCAAGTAGCTGGGATTACAGGCGCCTGCCACCATGCCCGGCTAATTTTTGTATTTTTAGTAGACATGGGGTTTCACCATGTTGGTCAGGCTGGTCTCGAACTCCTGACCTCAGGTGATCCGCCCGCTCAGCCTCCCAAAGTGCTGGGATCACAGGCATGAGCCACCATGCCCAGCCGCCTTTCTGGTTTTTGAGTGGTAAGAGTACCAGTACCTCCATTTTTCTCGCAGAGATAGTGAAACAGTATTCTGAAATTATCTCCTAGGAATGTAAGAAGGATTCATGAAATACTGATGCGGAAATAATGAAGTGCCTTACAGAAAGACACACTGTCTTAAACACACAGTGTTTCTGATTGATATAAGCAACTAGAATCCTAAATCATTGCTAAAAGATTCTTCCTATCCAAAAAAAAAAAAAAAAAAAAAAGGAAAGGAGACAGGGGTGTGAAACAAGTGGTAAGTGAAACTTAATTTCCCTCACTAACAAGGCAACCTGCTTTCAGCCTAAAGAAGTGCTCAGAATGTTTTCTACTAATGAAATGGAAACATAAATAGTAACAAAATTCAGTAATTTCTCCATTCTAAATTGCACAGACTTGTTAACTATTTTCCTACAAACTGCCCAAATGGGAATAGCTCATTAACAAATAACAAAGTAATAGTCTCTTTCAGAAATTATTATTCTTTTAGTTACTGTCTACATTTAAAGCAAGGAGTGAAGAAATCTATTTTCAAAATGTTTAGTCAACAATGCTGCCAGTTTTAGGGTTTTCTGTGGCATTTTAGGCCCCTTAAATGAGATTCTTTTGGCAATCCCACAATAAATAACAATACAGATAGCATATTTTATTATATAAGAACAGATTAAGTAATTTATGTAGTTATTTACAAAAGCCCATGCAACTGCCAATATAAATAACCATGAAAGTAGAGGAATTTGTTAAGTAGTAAGAAGTTAAAAGATGTTGGTGATCAAAAATTTGAGTACCATATACAATACCTTAACTTGTGAGGGTTGATTTAAAGGGCAGCTGACCTTGCCAAATAAGGTCTTTATTTGGATGACTTGGACACGGCTCTTTGAAACATGCTAAATTAAGCCTGATTCCTTCTATATTAGCAATGTTTTGGGCTCCACATTTCTTTCTCCTAAAAAAACTTGTATCATGCGTTACCTGCAGTAAATGCATGAAAGGAAGAAAGGACGGTAAGAAGGGAGGAGCAGAAAGTAGTTTCAAGAGGCTATTTGGCCCAGTTCCTTGTATCCAACTAACTCAAGGTTGTTGCCTATTCTGTAATGGTATTTTTCAGAGATGGCATTTCCATATGCTCCTCTATCCTCTCTTAGCAAGGTTATGATCGAGATGTTAATTTTCCTAACATGTCCTTACTTTAAAAACATTTTCTGGGGCCGGGCACGGTGGCTCACGCTTGTAGTCCCAGCGCTTTGGGAGGCCGAGGCGGGTGGATCACGAGATCAGGAGATCGAGACCATCCTGGCTAAAACGGTGAAACCTCATCTCTACTAAAAATACAAAAAAAATTGGCTGGGCGTGGTGGTGGGCACCTGTGGTCCCAGCTGCTCGGGAGGCTGAGGCAAGAGAATGGCATGAACCCGGGAGGCGGAGCTTGCAGTGAGCCGAGATCATGCCACTGCACTCCAGCCTGGGCGACAGAGCGAGACTCTGTCTCAGAAACATTTTCTATTAGATTCCCTTTGAAGATGTCTTGAAATATCATACCTATACACAAATTTATTTTGTGTATATGTGTATGTATGCACATAAACACATTCACTGTTATATATATATACACACACTCACAGCCATAAACATATAAAGATATAAAACATCTATGTCCATATCAAGATATAGAATATTTGCTGCCCCAGAAGGTTCCTAATGTCTTCACTGCTGTTTCCCCAATAGGTAACTGTAACTGACTTCTATCATAAATTAACTTTGCTTGTTCTTGTATTTCATATAAAGGAATCTTGTGTGTGGTTTCTTTTGCTCATCATATCTTTGCAATCCATCCATGCAGTTGTGTGTAACAGTTCTTTATTATTACTTTATAGTATATGCCAGTGTATGAATAATGCCACAATTTATCCATTCTACTTTTGAATCTATGCTGTATCTATTTTTTCTCTATTATAAATCTGCTATAAAATTATCAGATTGTTTTGGAGCTCATATAGCATATTTTTCTTGGGTATATGTAGCCTAAAAATGGAAATCCTAAAGGACAGAGTAAGATTTACATTTTAGCAGGTATTATTAAACGGTTTTCCCTGTGGTTGTACTAATTTACACTCTTACAATAATGTATGGAAGTTCCAGTTGCTCTACATCCTTGCCAACTCTTGATTTTTTTTTTTTAATTGGATCCATTCTGGTAGAGGTGTCATGGCATCTCATTGTGGTCTTGTATATCTTCCTAGGAAGTTACTTAGAACTTTAATTTTTAATCTTTAGACAAAGCTATTTTTAAAATCTCTTTAAGTTCCTTCTGTCGCTTTTCTCATTTTCTATATATCCATCCATCTGAGTATTCATATAACACTACTCTCCTTGACAATTTAACATTATTCTCCAAGTAGTCATATTTTGCTATTTAACCTTTCAGCATGGCTCTCTAAATATACAACCATTCATTCCATTACTATTTATTATGTGCCTACTAAACATCAGACATGATTATTTTTCACTATGTTGCAAAGAACACGTAGCAAATTATATAAATGAAATAGTTACAAGGTATTTCATGTGCTGATACGTTTTCCCTCTCTGCACATCTCACACTATTTTTTTTTTTTTTTTTTTTGAGATGGAATCTCGCTTGCCCAGGCTGGAATGCAGTGGCGCGATCTTGGCTCACTGCAAGCTCCGCCTCCCAGGTTCACGCCATTCTCCTGCCTCAGCCTCCGGAGCAGCAGGGACAACAGGCGCCCGCCACCACGCCCAGCTGATTTTTTGTATTTTTAGTAGAGACAGGGTTTTACCATGTTAGCCAGGATGGTCTCAATCTCCTGACCTTTTGATCTGCCTGCCTCGGCCTCCCAAAGTGCTTGCTAGGATTACAGGCGTGAGCCACCATGGCCAGCCTAGTTTGGTTTTTTTAATCCAACCAGTATCATACTACCCATATTATCTATGACCTCCTTTTTTTTTTAAATTCAACAATTTACTCAGAAATTTGTCAGTACATATATCCTACATTATTTTAACTGCCACACAGTACTCTACAGTATAAACAGAACAATTTACTTAGCCATTCTCTTGATGACCATTTAGGTTACTTTCACATTTCTGCCAATACACGCCTGTTTTTGTTTTGTTTGTTTGTTTTTGTTTTCCCGAGACGGAGTCTTGTCCTGTCACCCAGGCTGGAATGCAGTGGCACGATCTCGGGTCACTGCACCCTCTGCCCCCCAGGTTAAAGCAATTCTCCTGCTTCAGCCTCCTGAGTAGCTGGGATTACAGGCACACAACACACCTGCCTAATTTTTGTATTTTGTTGGCCAGGCTGGCCTCAAACTCCTGACTTTGTGACCCACCCACCTCGGCCTCCAAAAGTTGCTGGGATTTCAGGCGTGAACCACCGCGCCCGGCCCATGCCTGTTTTTGCATTTGTGAGTTGTTCTCTAGGGTAGATGCTAACATATGATCCTACACTCAAGATTCGGCCTAAATTCATTTTCTATAGAAGTAAGATCAGTCCACTTCATGTCATTTCTACTTTTTAACTCACAACAGTTTCTGGACAATTGATCATGTACAGTGACAGTTCTTGTACATTTATATGTTCTATATGGCTCCTGTACCAAATAGTGTTATTTAGTGTTTCCGGCATCAGAGCTTTCAAGTTAAAAATTAGCACTTTGAAGGATTGCATCTTATACTTTATGTATCTCAACTGTACACTACCTTACATAGAGCAGACATTTAATAAATATTTGTGAATGCCAGGAAAACCTTAAGACACTATATAGTCTTGTCTTGGGATTAATATGTAACTATTCTATTACCTTATTTCTACACTCCAACATAAGATTGCATAAACTGTAAAGTTGGGTTATCAATGCTTTGAATTTTTCTGTTTGTAGACATGGGCCTCACAAAGGACAAAACCAAATGTCTTACTCAAGTCCAAAATATTACACCTATGATTCCCTTTTATTTACACATTGTACAAAAAGAAATAAATTACCTGGCAACATTTATACTTCAAAAAGTGATACTTGAGAGTATACTATCATCAAGATGGTGAACTAGGAAACATAGGCCTTCTTTCCCCCAGAGATATTGAGTTTAAAACAATATGTAAACTACAATACCACTGTAAGAACTACAGAGACCACTGTAGTCCCAGCTACTTGGAAGGCTGAGGCAGGAGGATCGCTTGATCCCAGAAATTTGGGGTTACAGTGAGCTATGATAGTGCCACTGCACTCCAGCCTGGGTGACAGAGTGAAACCTCATCTCTTAAAAAACAAAACTATAGAGACTAGCTGTGAAGCAATAGCACCTAGGCCATTGTAACCAAGACAGTATTCCTGTGAAAGGAGGAGGAAAACTTGTGGCATGTCGCACACCTGTTTGTGCCCCTCTCTCCCTACATGGCATAGCATAGAGCAACCATGAGGAATCTCTAATGAGATTCAGGACACACTATTCCAATTTATGCCACCTTGGCATTTGAGAAAACTGTACAAAGAGGAAAGTCTCTCTAATCTTCTGTTTTAGTCCATTTTGTGTTGCTATAACAGAATACCAAAGACTGGGTAATTTAAAAAGAAATTTATTTACAGTTCTGGAGGTTGGGAAATCCAAGGTTGATGGGCTCACCACTGATGAGGGACTTCTTGCTCCAACATCCCATGGCAAAAGACATAAGGGCAAGAGAGCATGCACAAGAGTGAGAGAAAGGAGCCAAATTCTTTTATCAGGAACCCACTCCCATGGTAATGTCATTAATTCATTCACGAGGGCAGAGCCCTCATGACATAATCATTTTAAAGGTCCTACCTCTCAACACACAAAATGAAATATTATTCACCCTTAAAAAGAAAGGAAATTCTATTACATGCAACAACATGAATGAACCTTGAGGACATTATGCTAAATGAAATAAGCCAATCACAAAAAGACAAATACCTTATGATTCCACTTATATGAGATATCTAGTGAAACTCCAAGAAATGAAAGCAGAACAGAGAGTGAGGGGAGGGTAGAAGGAAAGGAAGAGTTACTATTTAATGGGTTTAGAGTTTCAGGCTTGAAAGATGAAAAAATTTTGGAAATCTGTTTCACAATAATATGAATACACTTAACACTACAGCACTGTATACTTCAATATGGTTCAGATGGTACATTTGTTATGTGTTTTTACCACAATAAAAAAAGCGATACTAATTGCATTTCTATTTTCATGTATGCCCTTTGATTCAGCACTTTTAATTTTGTTTCCTTAAACCTCACTTTCCTTTTCTTGCCTTTAGGCATGGAATTCAACAGATGACTTTATCCAGAAAAGTTTTGACACCTCAATACAAGGCTTTAAAGACCCAGAGCACACACAAACACAAAAGGCTTACTGCCAAGAATCCTTATAAATGAACAAATATCTACTCTTTTGATTTCTTTTTAATACCTTATTACTCATAATCACACAATGTGTGATTATACATTGTGTGTAATTAAAAAAAATAATTATTTTAAAATATAATCAATTTCTTAGTCCTCGTCTAAATTCCATCTCTCATACTTAGCATCTTAAAAAGGACAATAATTACATTAAAATAATTAGAACACTAAATGAAATAATTATATGTCTAAGGTTTTGTTCTCAGGTGGTATTCCTTGCAATCGTTTGCAATGCCCAGAGCACGTTGAACATGAACATTACCTTAGTCAGAGAAACAAACAACTCTTCTCTTATAGACTACAAAAACATCTGTAGCAGTGAAAAATGAGAACACTGGTAAAAATAAAAGCCCCAAAGACCACATGAATGGTTAGCAAACCAAGCAATAAGGGAAAGTTGTTTAGAATTGTTAAGTCTTCCTATTAAGAGACCACTTTAGCCTTATAAAATGTCATTCTTTATCTTTGGTAATACTTCTTGCCTTAAAGTCTAACTCGCCTGATGGAAAATATAATGCCATGCAAATACTAACCAAAAGAAAGATGATATAACATAGCTACATTTTTTTGTGCTATTCTTTGAGTGGTTACCCTGCAAATTATATCATATGTTCTTAACTTACAGTCTACCTTAGCCAAATCCAAATAATACAAGGCCTTTTACCTCCATTAGGCCTCCCCTGACCCCTTTGGCTATTGTTGTTGCATATTTTATTTTTACAATGTTTTAAACCCCAGGACAGTTTTATTATCATTTTGAAGTTCAACTACTAACCTAAGGAAACACATAGGAAAATTATACACAGAGTAAACTAAATTAAGTAATACTATTTTGGCTAAATTGAAATTTGCTGAAATCCTATACAGGTCCATAGCTTGTCAGCCAGGTATTTGGAGAGTATGTGGTAGTATTCAGATTTGTGGGCACGGTATATCTAATTGTCACATCAATGAATTTACAGCCTTCAGCCTCAGTAGCATAGAGCTTATAGCACACCACAGGAACCCTAATGCAGCTCTAGGACCTACTAGTTGTACTCAATGGGGACCTCAACTCTCCCCCTTACTTGATATGAAAAATCCCCATTTTACCTCATCCTTTTCTCCTACCAGAATGTTTCCAAGAATGCTACGGAATGAATTCCTATATTGGACAGAAGAATCTTTTAACTAAGCTGTTATGGTACTTCATTATGGTGCATCATATAAAATCACCACTTTTGTGAGCCAAAAACTGCTCCAGTATTGGCAATTTCACATGGTTCAAAGTAATATTTAAATATAAGACATGCTAAAAACCAGGCTGGAGTTATATACCTTAAGCCAGGTTTCCTTCACCATATTAAAATTAAGAAGACTAAGCCTTAATATCGAAAGTCACCTTTTTATTTATTTATTTATTTATTTATTTTGGAGACAGGGTGTTGCTCTGTCACCCAGGTTGGAGTACAGTGATACAATCTCAGTTCTCTGCAGCCTCAACCTCCTGGGCTCAGGAAATCCTCCCACTTCAGCCTCCCAAGTAGCTGAGATTGTGGGCACAGGCCACCACGCCTGGCTATTGTTTTGTATTTTTGTAGAGATAGGGTTTTGCCTTGTTGCCCAGGCTGTTCTCGAACTCCTGGGCTCAAATAATCTGCCTACCTTGGCCTCCTAAAGTGCCGGGATTACAGGTGTGAGCCATTGCACCTGGTCACATTTAAAAGATTATTCTGTCTATGACACTGTAGGCCAATGAAAAGGAAAGATTTTAATCCAGGATTACTCATTTTGTCTAGCACATACACAGTCTGTTGAAATATAGGGAACTACTGTTTTGAAGTAGAGAAGACAAAGACTAGAATCCGTTTGTTTCTAATCATAACAATTAAAAGAACATTTCTGGCTGGACTGGGTGGCCCACTCCTGTAATCCCAATACTTTGGGAGGCTGAGGCAGGAGGATTGCTTGAGGTTAGGAGTTTGAGACCAGACTGGGCCACATAGCGAGACTCCATCTCTACAAAAAAACAATAAAAATAATAGCTGGGTGTGGTGGCACCCTGTAGTCCCAGCCATTTGGGAGGCTGAGGTGAGAACTGCTTGAGCCCAGGAGTTTAAGACTGTAGTGAGCTATGATCTCACCACTGCACTCCAGCCTGGGCCACAGAGTAAGACCCTGTCTCTTCAAAAAAAAACAAAAAAACAAAAAACAATTATATAGCAAAATCACTTTGGTAGCTACTTTCTGTCTCAAATTCTGTTTACTCAATAACAAAACGTAAGTAATGTAAGTGTCATTTTCTTTTAATTGGCCTACAGTGTCACAGAAGTGAGATTCCTAGTGATTTATTTAGGGACAAAGAAGAGTTTAGTGGGCAAGCCTGTATCGAAGCCCCTTGAAGTTCTATTCTAATACAAGTTTGGGAAGCATGGATTAAACGCGGAGGGTTGAACAGACTTATCTTGGCTCTCTACTAAAATTGAATAATAAAAGGCATAAACCTACACAGGCAGAGAACTGGAGAGGAGACAGCAATAGATAAAAGATTCCAATAAAATTATGAAAGATGAAAAACAGATCATCATTCTGAGGACAGATAGACTAAGCCAACAGATGAGAATTTCAGTCCTCTTCCACCTCGTCTTATGGAACACAGGCACCCAGACTAATTACCACCACCATCATCCACCCATTTCCAAAGGCAAAGGTTTGAACAATTTCTCAGGGAAAACTGGAGAAAAGACCTATAGATACTGATAACTGAAGGGCCTTGCAATAAACTAGTCTCTGTCCTCACAGGGTTTCCCATACCATTTTAATGCCTCTCTCAAATAGGAGAAGGAAGCCATGGTTAACCAGACACTTGAGAAAAGTCTTTAACATAAAAGACAGAAACTAAAACACTTAGTGGAGAAGAAACTCAGAAGACAGACATATTACAAGAAGCAAAAGAAAATACCCTCAGAGACAAAAGAAAACAAATATATAAAACAAGAAAAGCATGCTACAAAAAAGAAGCATTCATAGACAAGAAAAAGAAGCACTCAGGAAATTAAAAACATAATACCAGAAATAAAATATTTAGTGAAAGGATTGGAAAATAAACTTTAAGGAAATCTACCAGAAATTAGAACAAAAGACAGAGAGAAAATAAGAAAGAACAAAGGAAAAAAAACCACTAAACGGTAAGTCAGGAGAGCTAACTGCTAAGAAAAAGATATATATAGGTGGAGGAGGAAATTAAATAAATAATATGAATACAGCTATATGTGATAACATGGATCAATCTTAGAAACCTATTTTTGCCTAAAAAGCAAGCCCTAAAAGACTACATAAGCTATGGTATCATTTTACAAAGCCCCCAAGCAGGCAAAACTAAACAATAGTTGTTTAGTGTCAACAAACATTTGTAGTAATTCTTCTTTTAGAAGTCCAGGTACTGAAATATATAATTTAGGACAGGAGGAGAACTGTAAAGAGTTACAAAAGCATGGCAATGGTAATGTTCCCATTCTTATGTTGTATGGCTGGTTCACAGGTAGTGTATTACTATGTGTCATAGCTTATATGTTTATTTTATATGAATAAAATATTACACAATAAAATATAAAATACAGAATATAAAAATATTGAAAGAAGTTTTTTAAAACCAGTGTTTCCAGATCCAGTCTTTGAGTTTTCCAGATTGAAAGGACTCATAAATTTTCCAGATTGAAAGACTCCTAAGGCTGCATAGTACTGAGTCTGCTGAGTACTTCTGAGTCCTATGCCTTGGGCTGCCAAGATGACCCACACCAAGGCCCATCATTGTACAACTTCAGGACAACAGAGACAAAGAGAAGAGCTTTTTTTGAAATTCTAGAGAGAAAAACAGGTGATACCCAGAGGGTCAAGAATCAGAATGGCACCAGATTTTTTGTCAATACTGGAAGCTAAAAGCTAACAATACAAGAATACATGGGCAATTTATTTACAACCTAAAATTCAGTACTCAGCCAAACTACCATTAAAGTATAAAGGTAAAATAAATTTTGGAATGGGCATAATTTCTGAAAAATTATCTTCCATGCACCCTTATTCTATAAGGCTCATAGAGTGTACATTTCAAGAAAAGAAAGGAATAAACCAAAAAGAGGATATGAAATCAAGGAACCAAAGAATGTTATTTATTAATAGATTAAGGAGTCCCAGAACAAAAGATGTGCAACACTCTTGGAGAGTAGTCAATTCAGACTAGAGGAAAAGTGAGAGCTTCCAGAAGTGTATCTCCAAGAAAAGCTGAAACTGAGAAGAGTAAATGCTGTTTTGAAAATATTGAGAGATTTTGGGAGGATCGCTTGAAACTGGGGTCGGGGGTGGGGGGTCAAGGCTGTAGTGAGCTGCGACTGTGCTATGGCACTCCAGCCTGGGTGACAGAGCAAGACCCTGTCTAAAAATATATATATAAATAAGGCTGGGCATGATGGCTCACGCCTGTAATCCCAGCACTTTGGGAGGCCAATGCAGGCAGATCACCTGAGGTCAGGAGTTTGAGACCAGCCTGGCCAACATGGTGAAACCTCGTCTCCACTAAAAATGCAAAATTTAGTGGGTATGGTGGTGTGCACCTGTAATCCTAGCTACTCGGGAGGCTGAGGCAAGAGAATAGCTTGAACCCAGGAGGTGGAGGTTGCAATGAGCCAAGATCACACCACTGAACTCCAGCCTGTGCAACAGAGCAAGACTCCATCTCAAATAATAATAATAATAATAATAAAATTTAAAAAAAAGAAAATAATGAAAGATTTACAGTTCTTTGAGAATTTGGAGAGAACCCAATGACAGTTATAAACAACAAAAATTAAAGCAATTAACTCCAGAGACAGCAAAAAGGTGTATAAAAAGGGAAGTGTAATCATATTATACTACAAAGCTCAAGTTGTAAATATATTTACATTGGCATAATGTAAACAGCATATTGAAATATAACTAAAATTTTAATAAGATATGGATAGGAAAAAGATAATAAGAAAGCTACATGATCATTTTCATTAAAGGAAGTCAAGATATCCAAAACAGAAAAAAAAATAGCAGCATAAGCATGTTATTTAGAAAATATTTAGATAAATTTCAGAATAAAAAATTAAAAGATCAAAAAGTTAAAATAAATTTTACTTGGGTTAGATATGCTGGAAAAAAAAAAAAAAAAACAAAGAAACTTGTTTCTGAGAGCTTAACAAACCTGGAAGATTAGGCCAGGAGCAGTGGCTCACACCTGTAATCCCAGATCACGAGGTCAGGAGATCCTGACCTGGCTAACCATCCTGGCTAACACAGTGAAACCGCATCTCTACTAAAAATACAAAAAGTTAGCTGGGTGTGGTGGCAGGCACCTGTAGTCCCAGCTACTTGGGAGGCTGAGGCAGGAGAGTGGTGTGAACCCAGGAGGTGGAGCTTGCAGTGAGCTGAGATCGCGCCACTGCACTCCAGCCTAGGCGACAGACCAAGATTCCATCTCAAAAAAAAAAAAAAAAAAAAATTCTGGAAGATTATATTAAATAAATCTACAGAAAGTTGTTCACAAAAAATAACATTTAAAATAGAAGATTCACAAGCAAGTAAAATGTTTCATACTCCTAGTGTTGGAAAGCAGATATGACTTTTAAATTCCTGGTTTTAATAATTCTCTGTAAGACTAAGGACACAAACACATATCTGAAATAATATTAACTTCTTAATTTCATTTGTTCCTGTAGCTTACTGTTGGCCTAAAGCCACACAATTCAGCCTTCCTTTGTCAGGATGCATTTCAGAGCTTCCAGCTGTAATTTTTTAAATGGTACTGTAACAATACAGTATTGTGAAGCCACAGACAGTAAATGATAAGAGATACAAACTGACAGGAAGAAAAAAAAAATCTCCAGGGTGCAAAAGAAGAGAGAGAGAGGTAAAGACAGTATTTATAGAAAAACATTTAGTTAAAGTACTGAAATCCTGCAAAAAAGAATAGCTTTTGGTATTTTCCATACTGAACATTAATGCATTTTGCAAACAATTTTCCCGGTTTCAGTAGTAGCCAATTCTTTTTTTACCTCTTTTTAGGTAAATCCCACTAAAACAGTACATTTAATCTTGATGTGACAAAGCAAGTTACTCATCTAAATAAGGACCCTGATTTTATTTAGTTTTACTGATTTTATGTAGAAAAACATTAGAGCTACAAATCCTCATAACAATGAAAACAACATGTGAAAGTCAAACTTGTCTTGAATTTCTGTACTAATCCACACATCTCTGCACCCTAAGGCAACAAAAGATACTGATACAGAACTATGAGCAAAAATCAGGCTGGATGCGGTAGCTCACACCTGTAATCCCAGCACTTTGGGAGGCCAAGGTGGGTGGATGGCTTGAGCTCACAAGTTCAAGACCAGCCTGGGCAACATGGTAAAACCCCATTTCTACAAAAACATACAAAAATTAGCTGGGCATGGTGGCGGGCACGTGTAGTCCCAGCTACTAGGGAGGCTGAGGTGGGAGAATCACTTAAACCCAGGAGGCAGGGGTTGCAGTGAGCCAAGATTGCACCACTGGGCAACAGAGTGAGAGACACTGTCTCCCAAAAAAAACAAAACAAAACTAAGCAAAAATCAAGAGACATATATCACATACTAGTACGCAGAACCAAAACAGGTAATTTATACTGTGGCCTAAATCCTCCTGAACTATAATCGGATCACAAAACCTTTATACTCATTCTCATAAAGCTAAACTCCTGACAATAGAAAACAGCTTGCATTTTATCTTTATGTACAGAAACTTAAGCAAGTTCACCCTATATCTTAAGGCTCAATGGGCAAACATTCCTAAGAAGAATATGTTAATCTCACAAGCATTTATCTGCTTAAACTGAACTTGATTCTATGGTATAACTCATCACAAATTATATAATATAAAGACAATGTATGACATCAACGAATATGGAAGGAAGCTTATCAAAGCAATGTTTCAATTCATAAGCAATCACATTTACAACAACAAAATTAGGTAAATTGTTTCCTTCAGGTGTTTTGCATTTTTATAGAAAATAACAATTCTATGGAGCAGAAAACCTGGATACTGTTCTTTCACCTAGAAGAATGTATAGCTGTGTCTTGAACATCTACAACTGTTGAAACAAGTTTAATGTTATTGGAAAGCCTGTGGTGAGCTTAAGGCAGAAAACAATGTTTAAGGTATTCTAGTCCTATCCTATGGTAAAATGGTTATTTAAATGTGCATTTGCACAGCTGCTTAACATATGAGTTTTTTTAATTAATAAACCAAGAGTATGCTCCCTAAGACTGTGTATGTTCTTCTAAATAAGCTTCTATATCACTAAAATTCTAAAGCGTATTCCTCAGAGCATCCACATGGGGAAGGTTATATTGATCAGTTACTCTGATGCACTACTCCATTGTTAAGCTTACAAAGAAATGCTCAGAAACAAATAGATCAGAATTAGGATGCTCACTTTCATGGCCATTCATTTTATATATTATTTTTAATTTTTTAGAGATAGGATATCACTCTGTTGCCCAGACTGGACTGCAGTGGCACAGTCAACAGCTCCCTGTAACCTCAACTCTTGGCCTCAAGTGATCCTCCTGCCTCAGCCTCCCAAGTAGCTTGGACTACAGGTGTGTGCCACCACACCTGGCTGTTTTTTTTAAAATTTCTTGTAGAGACAGGGGTCTCACTGTGTTGCCCAGGCTGGTCTTGAACTCCTGGCTCCAGTGATCCTCCCACATCAGCCTCCCAAAGTGCTGGGATTAGGGGCATGAGCCACTGTGTCCAACCATTTGAGAAAAGTGATCCTGAGATGGGAATTTTCTCAGCAAATCTTCAATAAATGCAAGACTATGCATTTTTTTAAAAAAGAAATCAAGTTTTGGGCCAGGTGCAGTGGCTCATACCTGTAATCCCAGCACTTTGGGAGGCTGAGGTGGGCAGATCACCTGAGGTCAGGGGTTCGAGCCCAGCCTGGCCAACATGGCGAAACCCTGTCTCTACTAAAAATACAAAACTTAGCTGGGCGTGGTGGCATGCGCCTGTAATCCCAGCTACTCAGGAGGCTCAGGAAGGAGAATCACTTGAACCCAGTAGGCGGAGGTTGCAGTGAGCCCAGGTTGTGCCACTGCACTCCAGCCTGGGTGACAGAGCAAGACTCTGCCTCAATTTAAAAAAAAAAAAAAGAAAGAAAGAAATCAAGTTTTGGTGATTCTTACTATTCAATACTCTTAGATTCATTAGTACAGAAGGGCTTTTACCTTTGTGTTAACAATGAGAAATGGCTGGGCGTGGTGGCTCATGCCTATAATCCCAGCACTTTGGGAGGCCAAGGTGGGCAAATCACCTGAGATCAGGAAATCAAGATCAGCCTGGCCAACACAGTGAAACTCCATCTCTGCTAAATATGCAAAAATTAGCTAGATGTGGTGGCACGCACCTGTAATCCCAGCTTCTTGGGAAGCTGAGGCAGAAGAATCACTTGAATCTGGGAGGTGGAGGGTGCAGTGAGATCACGCCACTGCACTCCAGCCTAGGCAACAGAGCAAGACTCTGTCTCAAAAAAAAAAAAAAAAAAAAAAAGCCAATGAGAAAAAAACAGGGCATTATGTAAAAGAGGAAAGAAGAACACCACAACTATAACAAAGAAACTTAAGCTGGTACTCTGTAGGACTACAATCACATCCACAATACTCAAATCAAATCTCTGGTACTGAGATTTCACTTTTAATACCCCTGTTCAAGATATTTTATTGAAGAAGCTATAAATTTATTGCTGGTTTATCTTCACTGGCTGGATTTCACAAAACAAATACCCGACCTCGCCCCAAAAAAAGAAAAGGTAGAGACACTAAGGTTATTGTTTTTAAGGTGAGATAATTTTAAGCTTAAAAAGATGAGGCATATTTAAGACTTAAATCTAAAATGAAAAACTATAAAAACCTTTGAAGATAACCTAGGAAATACCATCTGGACATAGGACCTGGCAAAGACTTCATAACAAAGATGCCAAAAGCGATTGCAACAAAACCAAAAATAAACAAATGGGACCCAATGAAACTAAAGAGCTTCTGCACAACAGAAGAAACTATCAAAGAGTAAACAGCCTACAGAAGGGGAGAAAATACTTGAAAATACTTGCAAACTATACATCAGATAAAGGTCTAATATTCAGAATCTATAAGGAACTTAAATCAGACAACCCTCATTAAAAAGTGGGCAAACGACATGAACGAACACTTTTCAAAAGATAACATGCATGCAGCAACAGGCTTATGAAAAAATACTCAACATCACTAATCATTAGAGAAATGCAAATCTAAACCACAATAAGATACCATCTCACACCAGTCAGAATGTCTATTATTAAAAAGTCAAAAAATAACAGATGCTGGTGAGGTTGTGGAGAAAAGAGAACACTTACACACTGCCAGTAGGAATGTAAATTAGTCCAGCCATTATGGAAAGCAGTCTGGCGATTTCTCAAATAACTTAAAACAGAATTACCATTTAACCCAGCAATCCTATTATGTATTTTCCCAAAGGAATATAAATAATTATTCCACAAAGACACATGCACATGTATGTTCACTGCAGCACTATTCACAATAGCAAAGACATGGAATCATCCTAAATGCCCATCAATGGTAGACTGGATAAAGAAAATGTGGTACATGTACACCACAGAATACTACACAGCAATAAAAAAATAATGAGATCATGTCCTTACGGAGCTGGAGGCCATTATCCTACACAAACTAACACAGGAACAGAAAACCATATACCTCATGTTCTCACTTAACAAGAGGGAGTTAAACATTTAGTATGGACACAAAGAAGGGAACAACAGACACCAGGGCCTACTTGAGGGTGGAGAGTGGGAGGAGGGTGAGGATCGAAAAACTACCTATTGGGTACTATGCTTATTACCTGGGTAATGAAATAATTTGTACAACAAACCCCCGCAACATGCAGTTTACCTATTTAACAAACCTACCCATGCACTCCTGAACCTAAAATAAAAGTTAAAAAAAAAAAAGATGAAGCTATTCCATTTCTACTGAAGAAGAGATTATTCTTAAGGAAATAGTACTTATATATGTTAAAGGAAATTTAACAATTTGAAAATGTATTTACTAAGTCATCTGTGATAATAAACACTTTAATTGTTCATCCATTCTAAACTTGTCCTTAAGTTCTTTTTCCTTATTTTTTTTTTTTGTATAATAAAGCAGGGTAAGTGATAAAAGTCCACTGTTGGAATAACTATTTATACATTTATTCTCCCAAAGAGTTGAGTTATAGGCTTGCATTTCCTATGTGGAAATGGCTTGACAATCAGAAACCATGAAATTTCTAAAGACATTAGGAGAAGACCTGAGCGTAAGGTTTAGATAAGATGCCAGACAATTTCCCAGTGTACTCCTGAACCAGATCTTCACTCACAGGCTAATTTTCCTGCAGTGTTTTAATTTTAAGTATTCATCCTGTGAATTCCTATTTAAAGTGGCAGAATCTTTGTTTCTAATCTTTTCTTTGTGATCTAACATAAGTTGCCATCTCTTTAAAATAACTTGTTATGTTTGTTGTAAGCCTCATGGTAACCAAAATACAAAAACCTATAACAGATTCACTAAAAATAAAAAGCAATGAATTAACATACTACCAGAGAAAATCACTTAACCACAAAGACAATAGTAAAAAAGGGATGAAAAGAGGAGTTACAAAACAACCAGAATATGCAATAAAATGGCAGTATTAAGCCCTTACTTATCAAAAATAACACTGAATGTAAATGGACTCAATTCTCCAATTAAAAGGCATAAAGTGGCTGAATGGACAAAGAAATAAGACCCAACTATATGCTGCCTACAAGGAACCCACTTCTCCTACAAAGATACACATAGACTGAAAGTGAAGGGGTGGGGAAAATATAGTCTATGCAACTGGAAAACAAAAAAGAGTAGAAGTAGCTATACTTACATCATATAAAATAGATTACAAATCGAAGACTATAGGAAGAGACAAAGTAGGTCACTATATAAAGATAAACTGGTTAATTCAGGAAGCCGATGTAACAATTATAAGTATCTATGTACCCAACATCAGAGCTCCCAAGTACATGAGGCAAACATTAGTAGATCTAAAGGGAGAGATAGACTGATAGACTGTAATACAATACTAGTAGAGAAAGTCAGCACCTCATTCTCAATAATGGACAGATCATCCAGACAGAAAATCAACAGAGACACAAAAGTTAAAGTAGACACCATACTTAATAGACCTGACATTTATAGAACACTTCACCCAATTGCTGCAGAATACTCATTCTTTTCATCACCACAAGGGAACATTCTCCAGAAGAGACCATATCTTAAACAAATCTCAACGATTAAAAAAAAATAAATCATATTAACTTTTCTGACCACAATGGAATAAAGCTAGAAATAAGTAACATTCACAGCAACAGGAAAAACTCTTAAATTTATATGGAACCACAGAAGACACTGAATAGCCAAAGCAATCCTGAGCAAAAAGAACAAAATGGGAGGTATCACACTACCTGACTTCAAAACATACTATAAAGCAATAGTAAACATATTAGCACAGTACTGGCATAAAAACACACAGACCAATGGAACAGAATGGAAAACCCAGATATAAATCAACACATTTATAGCCAACCCATTTTCAACAAAGGCACCAAGAACATACAATGGGGTAAGAACAGTCTCTTTAATAAATGGTGCTGGGGAAAATGGACAACCACCTGCAGAATGGAACTACACCCCTATCTCTGAACATATACAAAAATCAAATCAAAAGGGATTAACAACTTAAATCTAAGACTGGAAACTATGAAACTACTAGAAGAAATCATTGGGGAAATGCTACAGGACATTGGTCTGGACAAGGATTTTCAGTGTAAGACCTCAAAAGCACAGGCAACCAAAGCAAAAACAGACAAATGGGATCACATCATGCTAAAAAGCTTCTGCACAGCAAAGGAAACAATCAACAAAGTGAAAAGACAATCCACAGAATGGGAGAAAATATTTACAAACTATCCATCTGACAAGGGATTAATAACCAGAATACATAAGGAACTCAAAACAATAGCAAAACAAATTCAATTTTATAATGGGCAAAAGATCTGAATAGTCATTTCTCAAAAGATGGCACACAAATGGCCAACAAGTATATGAAAAAATGCTCAATATCACTAATCATCAGAGAAATGCAAATCAAAACCACAATGAGACATCACATCACCCCAGTTAGAATGGCTTTTATCAAAAAGACAGGGAATAACATGCTGGGGAGGATGTGGAGAAAGGGGATGTATACTGTTGGTAGAAATGTAAATTAGTACAGCCACTATGGAAAACTTTACGGAGGTTCCTTTAAAAATTAAAAATAGAACTACCATATGACCCAGGAATTCTACTACTGGGTATATAGCCAAAAGAAAAGAAATCAAGATATCAAACAGACATCTGCATTGCCATGTTTATTTGCAAGTGCTATTCACAATAGCCAAAACATGGGATCAATGTAACTGCCCATCAGTGGACAAATGAATAAAGAAAATGTGGTATACAAACACAATGAAATATTATAAAGCCATAAAGAAGAATGAAATCCTTTCATTTGCAGCAACATGGATGGAAATGGAACTCATTTTGTTAAGTGAAATAAGCCAAGCAAGATAAACATCACATGTTATCACTCACATGTGGGAGCTAAAAAATAGTGGATCTCATGAAAATAAAGAGTAGACTAGTGGTTACCAGAGGCTTGGGAAAGGCAAGGGAGAGGGAGGGAAGGAGAGAGGTTGATTAATGGGTACAAATAAACGGGGTCTGATAGAAGAAATAGAAGAAATAAGACCTAATGTTTGATAGATCAGTAGGGTGATTATAGAAGATAATAATTCAAATGTTTCTAGCATAAAGAAAAGACAAGGCCAGGCATAATGGCTCATGCTTGTAATCCTAACACTTTAGGAGGCTGAGATGGGAGGATTACTTGAGCCCAGGAGTTTGAGATCAGCCTGGTCAACATATCAAGACCCCATTTCTAGAAAAAATAAAAATAAAAAATAAGCCAGGTGTGACGGTGCACACCTGTAGTCCCAGCTACTAGGGAGGGTGAGGCAGGAGGATTGCTTGAGCCAGGAATTTGAGGTGGCAATGAGCTATGACTGTACCACTGCACTCCAACCTGGGTGACAGAGCGAGAGCCTGTCTAAAAAGAAAAAAGAAAAAGACAAGACAAATATTTAAGGTGATAGATATCCCAGTTACATTGATTTGATGTTTATGAGTTATATAAATGTATTAAATGATCACATGAACCCCCAAAATACGTAAATTATATATCAATTTTAAAAGATAAAATTTAAATTAAAAAAAAGGCAAGCACATTTGAATCAGGTTTCTGGGGCACAGTGTCAACTGTTATTTAAAACCAAAACAACCTTATTGACCAAAGTAAAAATCTTTGTTTTTCACCCATAAGAGTCGGCCGGGTGTGGTGGCCCATGTCTCTAACACTAGCATTTTGGGAGGCTGAGGTGGGAGGATCGCTTGAGCCCAGGAGATCAAGGCTGCAGTGAGCCGTGATCAAACTACTGCACTCCAGCCTGAGCAACAAAGAAAGACCCTGTCTTAATCAATTAATAATATCTGTGAACTTTAAGATCATGAAATTACCAAATCAAAAAATCTGACAGAAAAGAATATTTACTATCTTATTATCCAAAGGGAAATAAATTGCTAACAAGAATTTCTTCCTTCTAGGCCCTTAGAGACTATCCCACATCTTCATATTTTGATTTTCAGAGTGGCTGAAGTTTCTATTAAGCTGGGAATTTTTTTTTTCTTTTTTAGATGGAGTCTCACTCTGTCACCCAGACTGGAGTGCAGTGGTGAGATCTCTGCTCACTGCAACCTCCACCTCCTGGGTTCAAGTGATTCTCATGCCTCATCCTCCCAAGGAGCTGGAATTACAGGTGTGCACCACCACACCCAGCTAATTTTTTTTTCTTTTTTGAGATGGAGTCTTGGTCTGTCACCCAGGCTAGAGTGCAATGGCGCGATCTCAGCTCACTGCAACCTCTGCCTCCCAAGTTCAAGCAATTCTCCTGCTGTAGCCACTGGACTAGCTGGGACCACAGACATGTGCCACGCCCGGTTAATTTTTGTATTTTTAGTAGAGACGGGGTCTCACCATGTTGGCCAGGCTGGTCTCAAACTCCTGACCTCAGGTGATCCACCCACCTCGGCCTCCCAAAGTGCTGGGATTACAGTCGTGAGCCACCGTGCCAGGCCTTTTTTGTATTGTTAGTGGAGATGGGGTTTCACCATGTTGGTAAGCTGGTCTCGAACTCCCAACCTCAAGTGATCCACCCACCTCAGCATCCCAAAGTGCTGGGATCACAGGTATGAGCCCCAGCACCTGGCTGGGAATTATTTTTTAAGAAAAAAAAGAAAAATACAAAACTTCTTTAAATTTCTGTGATCAGCAGACATCAGTTTTAAAGAAATTTTTAAAGAAAAGTTTTAAAGAAACTTTTAAAGAACAGTTTCAAAGAAACTTTTTAAATTTTCTTTAAAAGTTTCTAAGAAACTTTTAAAGAAAAGTTTTAAAGAAACTTTTAAAGAAAAGTTTTAAAGAAACTTTTAAAGAAAAGTTTTAAAGAAACTTTTAAAGAAAAGTTTTAAAGAAACTTTTAAAGAAAAGTTTTAAAGAAACTTTTAAAGAAAAGTTTTAAAGAAACTTTTAAAGAAAAGTTTTAAAGAAACTTTTAAAGAAAAGTTTTAAAGAAACTTTTAAAGAAAAGTTTTAAAGAAACTTTTAAAGAAAAGTTTTAAAGAAACTTTTAAAGAAAAGTTTTAAAGAAAACTTTTTGCAAAACAAATTGAGCACTGATTTAAAAAACAAAGATATCTGAAGGGCTAATAAATGACTGAATTCTTCAACATGCCACAATTCTTAATTATTCTGAAGAATATGGCTATACATTAAATAAATAATACTATAAATACAAAGTAAGAAAAATGAGGTGCTGAAGCACATGGTATCAGTGTTGGGAAATGATGTAGGTGACATTTGGTTAATCTCTAACACCAATTTAAAAAGGTAGAAGTTGAGGCTGGTCCAAGTGCAGTAATGCTTACAACTAATTGATCACAACCAGTTACAGATTTCTTTGTTCCTTCTCCAGGCCAAACAGTTCACTTGACTAGCCTAAGACGAAATGAAATAAAATGTAGAATGTGAAAGGTTCTCATTCTTTTTCTTTCTTTCTTTTTTTCTTTTGAGACGGAGTCTCACTCTGTCACCCAGGCTGGAGTGCAATGGCCCGATCTCGGCTCACTGTAACCTCCACCTCCCGGGTTCAAGTGATTCTCCTGCCTCAGCCTCCTGAGTAGCTGGGATTACAGGTGTGCACCACCATGCCAGGCTAATTTTTTTATTTTTAGTAGAGACAGGGTTTCACCATGTTGGCCAGGCTGGTCTCGAACTCCTGACCTCAGGTGATCCGCCCGCCTCGGCCTCCCAAAGTGCTGGGATTACAGGTGTGAAGGGTTCTCATTCTTAAAAGTAAATATATTAGAAATTAGAAGTTAAGTTCTCTACAAAAAGTCTTTTTACTAACAGTCTCAAAATGACTAAACATCTGTATTATTTTACTGCCTGTAAAAATTTCAATTACTCTGAATTAAACTCTACAACTTTTGCCAAATAAAAATTAAAGATGAAAGGTAAGTCAGATCACAAAAAGGAAAAACAATTTCAAACTGGAGTTGTGCTGACCATAAGCATATAATACTTCAGAATTAGGAAAGGTCTATTCACTACTGTAATCAGATCTGGGCATTGTGTTCTGTTCTGGAGACTAGAATTTAAGCGGAATACTGAAGAACGGGAACAGTTAGAGTTGATGGACCAGTATGACTAAGTACTCAAAATTATGATGTGAATGAATAACCCGGGGCTTGCTTCAGCAACCCATATACTAAAATTGGAATACAAAGATTATCATGGCTTCTGAAGAAGATGACACAAAAACTCGTGAAACACTCCATATTTTTTATGGACGTTGGGGTCCTTAGTGAATTGTTGAAACCACAAATTTAATGGTGTGTGCCACCAAACCCAGCTAAGAATCTACTTGACGTCAAGTTTCCCAGTGGAACCCAGGAAGGCTACGGATTCATTTAATATCCCAAGGAACCTCAGAATTTCTTATCTAGAAGGTGTTTATGCCATTCCTTAGATGAGCCTTCTCCTTGAACTATCTATTTCAGGCCTTGAAGACGCCTACTAGATTATTCTTGGCAAGACCTACAGTAGCAAAGAGCAGTGGTCAAAAGCATGACTTCTAGAGCTAAAAAGACTTGGTTCTGACATCCATTACAAACTTCTTACCAATTGTGTAAACATGGTAAGTCATTCCAACTTCATCTTGTTTCTTCACTTATAAAAATAGAGATAGTAATACTTCACAGTACAGTTGTTTGTAGTGAGAATTCACTACTGTATCCCAAACACTTAAAATGCCTGGATCAAAAAATGTTAAATTAAAAAAATATATATATATATCCCAAGGACTAAGGATTATTAGTCTGGAGAAGGGATTATTCAGGAAGAGACACAATGTGAAGGCAATTCATGCCTGCAGAGGCATTACATATTCTGATTGGCCCTAACTGGAGAAATACAGGGTACCAGATTCAGATTAATATATTAGATTTGTCTAACAGAGGCACAAGTAGAATAGGCTGCTTTGGGAGATTCTGAGAGGCCAGACAACCGTTTAGGGAGAATGTTAGAGAGCTATAAATGAAAACGACTGTAGAAATCTCTCCCAATATGAGATTTGTGTTAAAGAAAGGCTCAAAAGGAGAAGTGGAACTTTCTTAGGACAATGCTCCAGCACTCTTATCTTACCCTTCCCAGATGGTTATAGCAACTTGGCAGGAAAAAAACAACAGAATTAAAAACAATCGATGCTATTAACCACCAGATTATAGGCCAGTAAAACTGCATGGAAGCAAAGATAAACCAGCCAATTACCTCTCACTTCCTACTTTTAAGCACTGTTCAGAGGTTAGTAAGAGGTGGCGACTTCCAGCAATTTCATTGTGGCCTTTTGATAGTACATAAGGAAAGCAGTGGGAAACTTACTTTTTTCTTTCATCTAAGTTTCTACTTCAAGAGTTAATTATGAAGCCTCAAATCTTGCTTCAATTTTAACTAAGACCAACTGTTCAAGTTTTTTTCTTATGTGTTTTAGGAAAATTACTTGGCAGATTACCGACTTTTTGACAGCCTGTATCATTCTAAGATCTATATTCTCTGCCTTTATATTACACTCCCCACACTAAGTACATGATAAAAGCTATCAATATTGAGGCATCTGTGCTGTAGATGTGTAGATGTAGATGTAGATGTGTACATGTGCAAAGAGCTTAGACTCAGCCATGAACTAGCTCTCTGGTCTTAGACAAGTTTTAAAATTTTCCCTAAGCACTAATTACTTCATTTTTTTTTAAAGGTATTGACCTGCCCCAAAATACTCACATGCAAATTAAACTGCAAAGTATACATGGAAAGGATCTTACATACATTAGACACTCAAATATTTGTTAAGAATGATCTGATATAATGATATAAAAACAAATTCACTTCAACAAAATTCTTGCAAAGAATACTATCAACTACATGGAAAAGATTCCCAATTAAAGTTCATTTTATGAGTTCATTAAAATTCAGCATTTCCAGGGCAGGTTTCTTGGTGTCTTAAGGCAATAAGATAACAGAGGGATGATTCTCATCGTCATCACTCTTTCTTACTATAACTCTGCAACATTTTATGTGGTTAGTAAGAAACTTTAATTATGGGCCCTGTTTTCCATCCCACCCTCAAACTCACAATGCAGAAATAACTCCATGAAGACTATTTAACCAGCCATCTCACTAAATATAAGAGTCCGTGGCCACATGCAGTGGCTCACACCTGTAATCCCAGCACTTTGGGAGGCTGAGGCGGGTGGATGACTTGAGCCCAGGAGTTCAAGACCAGCCTGGGCAACACCGCAAAACTCCTCTACAAAAAAATACAAAAATTAGCCGGGTGCAGTGGCACTCACCTGTGGTCCCAGCTACTTGAAGAGGCTAAGGTGGGTGGTCACTTGAGCCTGGGAAGTCGAGGCTGCAGTTAGCTGTGATCACACCACTACACTCCAGCCTGGGTGACAGAGTGAGACCCTGTCTCAAATATAAATACATATATTTATATATATTTATGAGGCCTTATTTTTTAGGCATTGTAAATAACTATTTTGTTATTATTTTGTTTAGACATCTGAGAATCCAGGATGTCACTGTTCATATTTTAATGATGAATGGGATTAAAATAACTTTAGGGAATCATTTCAGTATTTGATATCTACTGTTACCCGTCTGAAAATGATGGCAAAAGTTGTTTAAAAGTAATAACATAAGAACCAGGCATGGTGGCACATGCCTATAGTCCTAGCTACTCAAGAGACTGAGGTGGGAAAATCCCTTGAGCCCAGAAGTTTGAGGATGCAATGAGCCATGATTGCACCACTGCACTCTAGCCTGGGCATTAGAGCAAGACCCCAACCCCATCTCAAAAAATACATAATAACATAAGAAACCAGAGGTAGTGATGAAATCAGTCTTTGTCACTGCTCTTAGATTTCTGCCTTCAAACAAGCTGATCTAGCAACCAATCTTTGAAAAAAGGAAAAACTTTCCTTTCCCCTTTTCTTATTTCCTGCTTGAAAGAACTGGTGTTCTTCAATTCTCTGGCATTCTTCAATTCTCTGGCATGCTCAACCAGGTAAAGAGGCAAGAATGCTGAACACAAAACAAGAGGGAACCCAGGGATCTGGTCCTGGTATCACTCATAATTAACTGTATAACTTCAGGCAGGTTTTTAACATCTCTGGACCTGTAAAATCAGGAGTTTGATTAGAATTAATCAAAGTAGCTTAATAGGCCTAACAGTCTATGAGTCTGGTAGTCACTTGGCAGCAGCCAGTGATCTTCTGACTAGAAATCATTTGTGGTGCAAGGGACTCATTTTGCAACTCAAGACTTTTGAATTCTTAGCTTCCTCATTATTACAGTTTTGAAATCTGAGTCAGGGTTTCTTATCCCAGTAAGATGTTACTATGACAAAATAAAAAGATTTGCCATAACTTTAATTTTTAAAATAAAACATTTTAGGCCAGCGCAGTGGCTCAGGCCTGTAATCTCAGCACTTTGAGAGGCTGAGGCAGGTGGATCATTTGAGGTCACGAGTTCAAGACCAGCCTGACAAACATGGTGAAACCCCATCTCTACTAAAAATATAAAAATTATACAGGCGTGGTGATGTGCGCCTGTAATCTCAGCTACTTGGGAGGCTGAGGCAGGAGAATCGCTTGAACCCAGGAGGTGGAGGTTGAAGTGAGCCGAGATCACGCCACCGCACTCCAGCCTGGGCAACAAGAGCGAAATTCCATCTCAAACAAAACAAAACAAAAATAACATTTTATATATTTAAAATTTTGTTTAGGAACATATTCCCAAAGTTGATATATATACAAAGTGAGAGACACCTATTAACGCATAATGTATATTAATTGTGACCCTGAAGTACAAAAGTTCAAAAATAAAATCTAGCCTGCTCACATTGACCAACAGGATCATAGGCTATGATAACATCAAAATAAGTCAATTTTTAACAAACACCGACTTAGTTCAACATTGGGCTAACTTGCCAAAGTTGTCTTTCTTGAGAAAAAATGCTGTACTGAGATCCCTGAAAAACAAACAAACAAACAAACAAAAAAACAGTCTGCAATAGTAATTACCTTACACAAAACACAATCTTGGCCTATCCCTCCGTCTATCTATCTATGACTCTTTGGAAGCAAGACCTTATATTAGCGTTCTGGATAAACCAAAGAGTAGTGGACTTTGGATACTAAAATTCTCCTCCTCTACTCCTAAGATTCAAAGCTATTGATAAAGTACCCAAATCTCTGATGAATAAAAGAGAAAAGCAGAAATTAGGTCACATACTATATATGTTTAGGAGTCTGATTACCCTAAAGCCTGGACCATTTTGTTGTATAAAGGAAAAAGAGGTTAAAGAGTGAACTCTACTTTCCATTACGTTGAGCCTTCATCATAAAAGGCTCTGAACAGAAAGAAAGTAACTCAGACTTAAAAAACAAACAAATGAACTTTGGCTGGGCGCGGTGGCTCATGCCTGTAATCCCAGCACTTTGAGAGGCTGAGGCAGGTGGATCACTTGAGGTCAGGAGTTTGAGACCAGCGTGGCCAAAATGGTAAAACCCTGTCTCTACTAAAAATACAAAAATTAGCTGGGTATGGTGGTGTGTGCCTGTAATCCCAGCTATTCTGGAGGCTGAGGCAGGAGAATTGCTTGAAACTGGGAGGTGGAGGTTGCAGTGAGCAGAGATCATGCCGCTGCACTCCAGCCTGGGTGACAGAGCGTGACTCTGTGTCAAAAAAAACCAACCAACCAAACAAACAGAAACAAACTTTAAGAAGCATCCCTATGATATTACACTTTGCATAACAAATTTACCAAGGTTAGGAACAGTTAGCTTATCTGTACCTTCACTTCTACTCTTACAAGAACTATATTTGATGCCCACATGAGATCATTAAGGATAATCAAAATATCTTTGGGGCCAATGAATACATATTTATATTAAAGGAAACTCAGTATTGGGGGAAAGGACATAGCCATAAACATTCTGGCTTTCAGAGGTAGGGTCAATAAACCTGTAAGTTACTTGCTTTGGCAATCAAGTTTTGCTACGTAAAGTATCTTTAAGGGAGAACAATGAGAAAGCCAAAATACATCTTCATTTCTAACTTATGCCCACTGTTCCAGTTCCGTATTATTAAAGGCCTATAAGACATTCTCTTCATAGTAGGTGTCAGCCACCCAACTGAAACTAAATGGTTTTCCTTAAAAAATACAATTTTTCAACTGTTTAGTGGAAATGGAAAATATTTTCTGATTCTCCCAAGCAAACTTCAGATTTTAAAATTTTTTATTCTAACATTGTTATCAAATCCTACCTGTTCTTCTATTGTCCATTCCACTTCCACAGTTATCAATTCAGCTCAATATTTATAAGAGCACTATCACTATTTAATAGTCACTGTGCTCAAGCTAGCCCACATCCTAATGACTTCCTGTACTAATTAAATTATCACCCCGGGGTTAATCAATGTCCTGTCAGGCATCCATCCCCTCACTTCCACCTACCAATCCTCACCTAGGGCACCACCTGGTGGTCAACAAAATGAATTATCCTTTTCCCCGCTTCATTTCTTCCCCACTGGGAGAACAGTACACCTGCATTACTAGTTTTGCTTACAGTTCAACTAATTCAAACTTAGAAATCTTTTTATTTGAACACATACATCTCCCTCAAACTTCTTCCACTTTTCTCTATCTTCCAGGTACAGCCAGGCATTACAAAAATTTCCCTTTCCTTCTGCCTATAAGTAATCCAAAAAGCTTCCCTCATTGCAGCCTAATATACACTGCTTTTCCTAAATCTGGCTATAAATAAGAAGATGATATAGTGAGCTCTGAAGTGATATTAACCTTAATAGAGAACCTGAATCCATAACTTCCAAACTTTCCCTTTAGAAGCTCCGAAGTTTACATCTATCTTTTTTGGTGGGGGTGGGTGGTAGGGGGTTGAGACAGGGTCTTGCTTTGTTGCCCAGCCTGGAGTGCAGCAATAAAAAGGAACAAACTATCAACACATTCAACAACAGTTGAATCAACAACAGTTGAAAAGTATTACACTAAATGAAAGAAGTCAAACACAAAAGACTGCATGATCTAATTTTTTAGGAAATTCTAGAAAAGGCAAAACTATAGCAATAGAAAGCAGATCAGCGGCTACCAGAGGCCACCGGTTGGGTAAGAGGGACTGACTGCAGCCAAGGGGCATGAGAAATCATTATTTGGGGGTAATGGGAATGTTCTATATAATGACTGTGTTACTATAAAACTACACATTTTTCAAAACTAGTCAAGATGTACACTTAAAACTGGTGGATTTTACTGTAAGCATATGCTAATAAAGTTGACAAAGCATTAAAGAAACAATGTTATGAAAAAAGTTCTCACTTTGCCCTCTTTCTCTTGAAGTTTTCCAATAAAATCTGCTTTACTTACACTTTTTCTTTTTAACATAAAAGTCTATAATCCCAGAATCACTAGCTGTAAATTCCTTAATGTTCTCTGGTAAAGGCTGAAGATTAAGACAAGGTACATAGCTGCACTGTCAATCTTTACTGCCAACTAGTTTGGGTAATCAGTGACCAAATATTCTTTTTATTTCAAAGATAACTAATATAGGCTGGACACGGTGGCTCATGCCTGTAACCTCAGCACTTTGGGAGGCTGAGGTGGATGGATCACTTGAACTCAGGAGTTTGAGACTGGCCTGGGCAACAAGGCAAAATCTCCTCTCTACAAAAAAAAAAAAAAAAAAATTGGCCAGACATGCTGGCATGCGCCTGTAGTACCAGCTACTCAGGAGGCTGAGGTGGGATGATCACCTGAGTCTGGGGAGGTTAAGGCTGCAGTGAGCCACGATCACACCACTGCACCCCAGCCTAGGTGACAGGGTAAGACCCTGTCTCCAAAAAAAATAAAATGAATATACACATAAATATGTGGTACTTTTCCCCATTTAAATTTTTTGAATTTTAATTCACATCATTATTTTGACAGGTTTAAAGTGATTTACTGTCCATTATCTATATGTTTTAAATATCATATTTAGGTAGGAAAGGTTTAAAGTTCTAGACTCAATATTTATATTTCCAGGTAACTTAATATCCAATAAAAAAAAAACCTTAGGAAAAGTTTAAGGTACTAGACTCAGTATTTATATTTCCAGGTAACTTAATATCCAATAAAAAAAAACCTAACTGTACCGCAAGCAGACACAGAATGAAAACGATCAAACAAAAACCTTAAGGAATACACAAAAGTAATGCTGAAAGATAGTTGAATGGTAACTTACAAGGCAGACCTAGCCCACAAATGTGTTCAGTGTGGCTTGCATATCTGTTAAAAATCAAGAGATTTCCCATCTAGATTTCCAGTTTCTCTTGAAAAAAATCAGAAGCTCTGGCAAGACTGTGCCCACAGTACTAAATTTCAACCATCAGCTAAAGCTAAGACATTGCCTCTGTTAAACAAAGCAGGAACTCCTCAGTTTGTCCAAGCTCCATAACACCTAAGTTCACTCATTGTCACTACCTGCATGGCTACGCGTACCTGAGTTTTCAAACCCTAGCAGGACTATTTCTTCTATGTGCCTCAACTAACCATAACTGAGAGTTATATGGAAAAAGTTTCTCCTAGATTTAATATGCCTGGTTTTGGGTAAACCCAAAACAATCTGTTTATTAATAGTACACTATAATAATGTATATGCTCTACTGTGGCATGCAAAATGTAAAATGAATGCTGCTGATGTACTACAAAGTATATGAAAATTATAACCAACTTAGTGTACTTCCATGGTAAGCACAAACTCAGATTCTAGAACTTTATTCACTACATTCATTAATGTAAGAAAGCCATCTCCATGTGCAAAATCAAAACAATAAGAAACAAAGCATCTTTATTGCTCTACCATAAAACTGACCCTCAAATATACAGAAAGAATACATGAAATATACTTAAGGTTTTAACGAAAGGATAAAATAAAATATAGCACTATGTTAGGAAGGAAATAGGAATATAATTCTAAGCATTCATTCATTAGCTATAATTATTATTTACCCATTTGAAAAGGGGAAAAATTCTTTTACCACAACTTTAAGGTATTTGCTGAGATATCTTTTTAGTTACCAAAGGAAAGTCTGGAGAGTCCTAGGTATGAAAAACAGTAAGTTAACAGAAAAACAAAATCTTACAAACTTACCCGCTCCGCAGTTCCCTCCTCTCCTGGTAGACATGCAGCAGCAGCAGCAGCAGCAGCACAAGCTATTTCCATCATAGCAGAGCTGGTAGGTGCATCAGTTGTGGATGAAGACCTGGGTCGGCCTGACTGCATAACAGCTGTCATCTCCTGACCAGACTTCCTGTTGATTTGGGGACTTCCCTTTGGGGCCTCTGGCTTGCCCCGCCTACTATGCAAGCTTGTCCCTCTCTTCATCTTGGGTGGCACTCGAATCTGCTGCAGGACACGATTCAGAGCTGTGGGGTGGGTGGGGACACCATCAATCTCAGCACATGCGTTCTGGCTTTCCAGATCCATTTCAGGTTCTGGATCTGCCTGAATTTGCTGCACATCATGTGGAGACACTGATGACCTCCTGCGCTGGTGCTGGAAGAGATGCTTCAAGCCTTGGCCAATCACGTTAATGTTCTCCAAAGCATTGTGGGTCATTTTAGACAATTTTTGTTCTGATTCTGTCTGCTTTCTGGCCTCTGCATCTTGGGATTTGCCTCCAGGATCAGGGTCCTCAAATAACTGTTCACTGCCCGAAGGCTCCATCAGTAGACTTAATATGCTTATTTGCAAACTCAAAAAAATTTTTTAAACACACCAAGAGTGTCAAATTAGGTAGGCATTTGCTTCAACAGTGACTACGCATGCAGCTGTGAGACGAAGGCTTCATGCCTATCTAATGTTAAAAACAAAAAAACAAAAAAACAAAAAAAAAACCTTATATTATAAATCCATGCAGAAACTCCAGTGTTAAAACAAAGAAAAACATGCTACTGGCCAAACAAATAGGCACTATCATTAAGCAATCTTTAATCAGAAGATTAAAAGACAGTTTTCTAGATAGTGGGTAATGATTATTTTTTAGAATGAGAGAAAAAGCCCAGAACAAGTCCATAGGAAATTAAAACAGCAATGTTCAAAAGCAAAAATCCCTACAAGATTCAATATATACAGAATTAGATATTAGAGGAGCCATCTTGGAATGGACACTATAATGGTAGTTGACAGAACAGCCATTGCTTGGGAAATCAAGAGAAGAGACCATCCAATAGGTTTACTCTAGCTGAGGCAATTTAATCCCTCTCATTCATAACCACAGTTAATTATTCACAGGCTGAAACTCAGTATAATCAAAGAACAACAGTGAGAAATGGATATCCCAATCTAACTATATGTGGATTTTAATGGAAAAGTGTGTTACCATTCATATTCATCAAGTTCACTGGTAACTAGAGATGACAGGTTTGCTCTTTTGAGAAGAGAATGGAAATAAAAATCCTGTAAGTTGAATTCTCTGCTGAAGCACAAATGACCTTTCTGGCACCATATGAGTGAATGGTTCAGACAGAATCAGAATCAGAGACTAGAGCTTTGCTCAGTACCAGCTATCAAGAAAGGAGATTCAAAGAAATCCCTTTCTCTATAGTGTCATCCCTGACAGAAGCTTCCCATATATCCATACAAACTCAAAAGCAAAGTAACTGGGTAGGATAGAAAAGTAGAGAAAAAGAAAGGTCAAACAGCAAACATATACCAGTATTAAATGCAAGAAATTAAAAGGAAGCTGAAACTAAGAGATGTAAAATCAACGCAACTGCCATGGTTACTAAAATCACATGCAAAAAAAAAAAAAAAAAAAAAGGGAGGGGGGGATGGGAGATGATGAGATTTTTCCTAATAGAAAGTGTTTATTTTTGTACTGTATTTGTGCAAATATATAAGACAAAATTATATACATGCACAGAAGCTGCTACAGAATGCAAAATATGATGTAGGAGGTTATTTCCATATTTTTCTTTAAATTTTTGTTTAAAGGACTTTAAAACTCCCTACACTACCAAGTACTTCAACAATTTAAGCCACTACCAATGAAGCACCATGGTGCTCCTGTTCTGGGAATATGTGGACTTGCTGCCACCAAGTGGCAATCTAGAAAGCCATAAATTAGCTGAATAAAAGAGTTCCCTGTGAACTCAAGGCTACTAGAGTTTAGTGGAACAGGAATGCAAACTCACTAAAGTTTTGTTCCTGATGACTACTCTCAGAAGACTTTTTTCAAATATTTTATGGGCACTGTCATTGTGGCTCCACTGTCCATATTCTTTCATGCCTGTGATTCCATTACCTAATCTCTTCATAACAGAGGAGCATAAACAGGGAGACAGGGATAAAGACATTTGTCTCTCTCTAGTACCTTCCTACTTTCTAAATGCCACAAAATTGTTTGTTCCTAAATTAGGCAAATGAATAACAACCATGAGAATGGAAGTTTCATTGCCTTTCACCCAAATTCTTTGTGGCTCCACTGAAATCTAGCCATCCCACTATGGCCTGTTACCCTTTTCCTGATTGTGCATTGGTTTTGTTCATATCTTTCCCTTTGGGAGAACCAAGAAAGAAACCCTTGCCCTTATTAGATCAATGACTGTCTTGGCCTCTGGTGTGGTTTTCTGGTGCTCCTTGTGGGCAAAAATTTTGCCAATAGTTTATATATTTAATTATCCCCTTCTAACCAAATATGAAATAAACACATAATACAATGTTACTCTGATTTTTAAAAAAAATAGTAATTATCTCACCATTCCTCATGAGTTTGTCTTGCTGGCTAATAGTTACTGAAAGAATTGAGTTTCTCAGAGGAAAAGGGCTAATGTAACCAAAATAATCCCCTATCAGTGTGTATCAACTCATCTCTTCTTGCACTGGGCTATTTAGATCCTGAGAAGATGGGAGGGTGTGAAAGCAGCAGAACAGTACTGAAAAAGTAGTTTACTTTTTCCTCTATTTGCACATTATTAGCTAATACAACTGATTTTTGTTGTTGTTGTTGGAAGTAAAATGTATAAAATATGTTTATCCCATGAGATTAAAAGACAGCAAGAATAAAGGAATGATGTCAAGGTTAGCTGAGGATCATTCTACTTGTCTCATATGCAAAGGTACTAGGAATTTATTACTCAGCAAATCTACTTATTTGGGCACTATTATAAACTAATCAACTGGTCATCTGGTTGCTGCCTATTTAAAAAATAGAGAATGTGGTACATTTTGAATATCAGTAAATTCATTTGAGATTTCACAAGCATTTGTAAAACAATTTATTTTTGTTTTTGTTTTTTTGAGACGGAGTCTTGCTCTTTCACCCAGGCTGGAGCGCAGTGGCACAATCTCAGCTCACTGCAGCCTCTGCCTCCTGGGTTCAGGCAATTCTCCTGCCTCAGCCTCCAGAGTAGCTAGGATTACAGGCACGTGCCACCATGCACAGCTAATTTTTGTATTTTTAGAGAGATACGGTTTCACCATGTTGGCCAGGCTGGTCTCAAATTCCTGACCTCAAGTGATCCAACCGCCTCAGCCTCCCAAAGTGCTGAGATTACAGGTGTGAGCCACTGCACCCGGCCAAATCATTTATTTTCAAATAATTCAAAATGATGATTGATTACAAGGAAATGTTAGCATTTCCTGGGAAAAGCTGGGAGTAAGGTGTTAATTTCCATGCCAAGACTATCTTCGCAGCTACGAAGAATAAGCAACAAAACAGTAATAAATTATCGGATTTTCAAAGGCAAAACTTACCTTAATCATACCAGCACATAGCCTCACTTAGCATGCAGCCCTAAAGAAACCTAAATTGAGCTTTAAACATCAAGTTTTAAGGTAATAATTTTGAAAAACAATCTACTGTACTGATTATAAAACGTAATATGGTACTTACACTTGTAGCTATCATCTGCATAATAGCAGCACTAAGAAACTAGTTAAGGTTTTGAAGGCTACTAAAATTTTCTGTAGGCCAATAGAAAATCTTTAAGGCCACCAAAGTCAAATGCTGTGGCAAAAATACCAACAATAGTGATGTTGCAATAATTAACTCTATAAAATTGCTGACAGTAAGAATGCAAGCACAAAAGAAATTCAATAGTCTCAAAGTTGTACAGGGACACCCTTCTTTTCTTCTGTATGTCTTACAGAGGCTCAAATGAATATGAACAACTGTTGCTCAGTTTATAAAATTCCCCAATTAACTATTTATTTATTTAGAGACAGGGTCTCCCCCTGCCACCCAGGCTGGAGTGCAGTGGCACAATCTCAGCTCACTGCAACCTCTGCCTTCTGGGTTCAAGCAATTCTCCTACCTCTGCCTCTCAAGTAGCTGGGATTACAGGCGCCCACCACCACAGCTGGCTAATTTTTGTATTTTTAGTAAAAACATGGGGTTTCGCCATGTTGACCAGGCTGGTCTCGAACTCCTGACCTCAAGTGATCCACCCTCCTCAGCCTCCCAAAGTGCTAGGATTATAGGCATGAGTCACCGCGCCCCACCCAACTAACTAATTTTAGATCCCTGGTTTAACACAAACGAGTTTAACTGCATAAGCCTATCAAATGCTTTTTGGTAAGAAGGAAATGCTGGCTACTCTTTTATTCACTCAGCTTCTCTGAAAAGTAAAGTTATTATAAGTAAACCAGAGGGAGAAAGAGAAAAAGGAGCAAAAGGACACAGGAAAAAGGGGAGAGGTCGAAGGAGTGAAAGGGGAGAGGTAGAAGGAGCAAAAGGTGAGGAAGGGGGACAAAAAACGCAGCCACCTACCAGTCAGGCATTTCAAATAATTTGGTAAGTTCTCAGAATTTTCAACAATTAACTTTTCTAGCACAATTTTACTGAAGACCTAATATGCCATTAGCTCACACTCAGAAAACAAGTTGTTCTAAATTAGTATCAGAAATAAGTGAAAAAATTATGTTTTTAAAATCTATCAACCATTTAGGAGGGTATTCCACAAAATCACAGCAAATTATATACAAATTGCTTTGTCTTTTTTTCCCTTAAGTTTTTCTTTCCAATTTTTTAGTTTTTTGATAAATATGGTGACCAAAGCTTTTTTGGTTTGGACATGAACCAAGTTAAATTTCACTGACTACAAAGAGTTGGATACTTGCCTTCATCACTCTTCCTTAAGCACTTCTAAGGTGTACAATCCTTTTAGGAAAAGCTGAAAAGCAAATATTAAGAATTACAAGGTGAGAAACTTAGATGGGGAAACTTACCTTTTACAGATATGCAGAAAACGACTGAAAGTATATCCAACAAAATGTTAATAGCCCTCATCTCTCACTGGTAGAAGTAGGGTTTGTTTTTTTCTAGTACTTTTCAGTATTTTCTAATTTTTTAAAGTATAATCAAGAATAATTATAATCAAGAAAGAAAGTATTCTGGAAAAAATATTAACTTAGCACTTGAAAAAGATAAAGTGGCAAATATTTTAAGAAGCAATAAATATTTTAACATTATCATACTGAATAAGGAATGGATATTCCATTAATTCTAATCTTAAAGTAACATGAAATATAAAACAGGTACATGAAAACACCACAATTTTATAAGTAAAATTTTTTTTCAAGTAGTTTCCTAATCTGTATCTGCCATTCTCTATTCAAAGGCAATTCTAAAAATCCTATCTTAGGCCAGGCATGATGGCTCATGCCTGTAATCCCAGCACTCCGAGGCAGGAAGATCATCTGAGCCCAGGAATTTGAGATCAGCCTGGGCAACAGTGACACCCCATCTCTAAAACAATTTTTAAAGATTAGCCAGGCATGGTAGTGCACACCTGTAGTCCCAGCTACTTGGGAGATTGAGGCAAGAGGATGTCTTGAGCCCCGGAGCTGGAGATTACAGCGAGCTATGGCTGCACCACTGCCCTCTAGCCTGGGAGCAAAAGCGAGACCCTGTCTCAATTTTAAAACAACAACAACAAGAAGAACAAAACATATCTTGGCAATGTGGAGTGACTCACACCTGTAATCCCAGCACTTTGGGAGGCCAAGGCAAGAAGGCTCATTTGAGGCCAAGAGTTCTAAGACCAGCTTGGGCAACACAGCAAGACCCCATGTCTCTACCAAAAAAAAATGTTTTTATTATTTCTATTTATTTTTTGGCTAATCTTCAGTATTCATTAAATTTTTTTAAATTACAAACCAGAGCCACCATGTACAACTGAGAATTGGAAGCACCAAAATTAAATTTTTCCTGGAAAACTTGCTTCTGATGGGTATTACCAGAGAAGCAATTTAATTAGACAAGTATTTTTGAGACATCTGCCATGTACCTAGCATTATACAGACCAAATAAAGCATATGACCCTGCCCTCGAGGAATTAATCTAGGACAGAAAATAAGATGTCCATACATGAAACATACAGAAAACAGCACAAAACTAAACAAGTGGTGAAGTGTGTAAGAAAGACTGCAATTACCATTAAAAGTCAGGAAGATCAGTTAGAATTGGATTTGTTTGGGAAAGCCTGATGAAAAAAGCAGCAGCTTTTACTGAGCTCTGAAGGATGAGACAATGGATAAATAAGCAGAAAGATGTGGGCCAATACCTTCGGCCAGCAGGCAGTAATCACAGTATGTTTGGGCATACTGTAAAGAGGTCAGATGGACCATACTGGTGGATACACATTTCTGAATAGGGGAAATAAGATTAAATGGGTAAGGCTGGGAAGTTAAAGAGGGCTTCAAATGTTAGGTAATTATTGAGTATTTATATTAAATTGCATTAAACTGCACTTAGGTGAACATTATCTCTAATCCTCACAACAACCCACAAGACAAGGGGGTTGTTGAAACCAACCAATTTACAGTTGAAAAACCTAAAGGCCAAAACAGGTCTACTGACTAAAATTTTGACTTGATATAACAGAAAATAAAGATCCACTATAGGATTTCCAGGATATAAGACATGTTTTAGGCCTAATGATCATGTAAGATGCATGAGAGGAGGGAAAGATGATAATCAGAGAAATTAGGTAAGGAACTTATAATTTAGAAAAAGATGACAAGGAAGAGCTGAGCCCATTAGTATGGCTGGGAATGGAATAAAAAAGTTAATGGAAAGGAATGAGCGCACAAAGTACTGAAGAGTCAACAGGAATTCCTCATACCATTGCGACAGATGCTAAAAAAGCATCTGATAAAATGAGTATTTATAGTTCTCAGCTGGAAACGTATTACGAGTACAATCATCCAATTCATCCTCCTGCATCTTATTTCAACAATTAAATGTCATCCATACTTCATTTAGCCCCAAAGAAATTGATTGCCTTTTAGCAAATCCTATGGGCTCCCTCTAGACGGTTGTGAGAGCTATTTCCTTGCATCCAGCCTTGGTAAGATGTCTCTTATTCCTTTAGACCTGCTTAAATATTTCTCTACTCTCTCACCACCCTGGCCGAAGATGTTACAACTATGAAATTTCAGTTTTCCTTTCTTTTGCACCTCATTTATGCCACAATAAAATGGAAACGTTTTAACTACCCAAGAAAGCTTCTCCCTCTTTCCTTTGATCCTCTTGAAATCCTTTTTCCTAAGGTCCTTAGTGAAGATCTTATTATGACCACTGTTTCCTATTCATGGCTGTGTTTTCATGCTGTGAATAAGTTTTTCTTTTCCAAACATAAAAAAAATTCAGTCACGGTTTCTCTCACTCTTTCATATATATATATATATATTTTAATGACAGGCTTTTCCCATCTGTTAGCATATGCTTAGTTTTTCCTAATTATCTAGCTGAACCAGCCCCACCTAGCAACCCATCACCAAGGAGACAGATACTCTGTTTTAGAATCCAGAAAGAGAGATATATCAAACAACATTTAATTATTAAAGCAATAATAACGTGTGATGAGGTTTCTATAAAGAACAAAAATACATAATCAAGAGCATATACTTGGGAGTCACAGGGTTCCAAGGTTCTTGTACTGTCCAAGAGTGTAAAAGCGGCAAGCAATCTGCAATATGTTTTTAAAAAGTGTATTTATTTAAAAAATCCAAAGTGCAGAACCATGTATATATCATGCTACTACTTTTAAAGGAGTGAGTACATACTGCATATGCACAGACTATTTCATTCTGGAATGGTGGACAGGTAACTGGTAACTAATGTTACTCCAGAGGGAAAACAAACACACTAAATAGAAAGGAGAAAGAATTAAAATACTCAAATCCAAAAAAGAAGAGAGAACAAGATTACAGAACAAATAAAACATATTTAAGCAGCAAAATATAAGATGTCAAACATAAATTCAAATAACTCAGTAATTACATTAAATGTAATTGGACCAGATGACAAAAATCAATTTTTAAAAAAAAATTAATCAAGAATCACACTTAAAATTACAGAAAATAGTTCAAAGTATGGGAAAAAGTCATACTAACAAACTGAAACACAGCTGCTCTAGCTGTATTAATTGTATTCAAAGTAGACTTCAATGCACAAAAGCCATTAATACCTATAAAGGTATAATTTATCAGGAAGATGCAACAATTTTAAATTTGTATGCATGTAATAACATAGCCTCCAAATATATAAAGCAAAACAGCAGAATTATAAAGAGAAGTGGGAGAAAAAATCCATAATCATAATAAATTTTGTATTCTTCTCAGTAGGTGATAGAACAAATGACTCAAATAAAGGGAGAGGGTAGAAATATAGATTTGAATAGCATGAACAAACTGGACCTAAATAAGACATTAATATGACACAGCATCCAATAATTGCAAAATATACTCTTTCAAGCAGAAAGAGATCATTTACAAAAATTGACCATATGTTGAACCCTAAGGCAAGTCTCACAAATTTTAAAAAAACTGAAATAATACACAGTATATTCTCTGACCACAATGTGGATTCCTGAGGTTCAAAAAGAGCTGGGAGGAAATCACTTTTTCCTTTTTTGTTTACTGCTATCCCAGCCTCCAGGCAATACAACATTTATGGAGCAACAGCTAAGGCTAGACAGGCACCTAAAAGCCTTGTCTCTGACCAAAGGAAACAGTCCCAAGAGCATGGAAGAATCCCAGTGCAGATAGGAAGATTAAACCAAAAATTCTGACAAACTGCTGAAGACTGAATGTAGGTTAGAATCAGAGTGTGAAGTCCTCGAGGGCTGCAATCATAGGAGAGTTCCCATCCTCTTGTGGGCTTTTCCTCCAGGAACCTCAAAAGGCTCTCTAATGCAGGGGGAAGCAGAGAGGAAGTAGAGAAAGCTCCTCCATCTCCACCCCCGTGGAGCTAATGAGGGAAGAGCAAGCAACAATACCAAACCAGCCTATTTCCCTTATCTCCCTGTGGAACAAAAGGCTTAATCAGCAAGGAGCAATTTCTGGTGGAATCCCACTACAGCTGGAGGAAGGAAAGGAAGCTGACACCCAATTTTCACCCTTATCCATCTTCACTGTTTCTCTAAAACAGCAATAGCCTTAAATGCAGGCGGAAAGAGCTGAAAAAAACCTTAGCTTGAGGATACTATTGAATCCCCATAGCAGTTGGGAAAAAGAAGGGAATAGTCTTCTGAAGGCCACACCCCCAAGACCCAGGTTCTACTATCTGCATAAATCTGAGGCTTAACCAGAACATCACAGAACTCCCCTCACCCTCCACTAACTGACAGGCTTTGAGTAAAAACAATGGAATACACCTGAGAAAGCTGCAAGACTCAGACTCTCACGGAGAAACAGCACAAAGGGAAAACCCAAAGCCAAGCAGGAAGACAAGAACAAGGTATTACTGGGAAAATTTGAAGCCTCTAGTTCCCATGGCAACAATAAATGTCAACTCCAGTAACCATTGCAATAATAAACATCAAACACAGCCCAATGCCTGAACAGATTAACACAAATCTCCACCCTAAAGGACTTGCAGGAAACTAGCAGTCTTCAGTAAGCATATCAAGCATATACCTCAGTATCTCCTGTCATATACAGCACATTCAGCTTTAAACAAAAATTATGAAGCATGGCAAAGGCAGTAATAAAAACACAGCTCAAAGGGACAAAGCAATTATCAGAGCCAGACCCACGTATGACATAAATTTTGGAACTACAAGACAGTAAATTAGAACGTGATTAATACAGTAAAAACTCTAATGAAAGAGGTAGACAACATATGAGATCAGACAGGTAATTTCAGAGATAAATGAAAATTATAAAAAATCAAGTGGAAACCAAATTAGAAATAAAGACATAGTAATGACAAATGCCTTTGAGAGGCTTATCAAGTAGACTTGAAACAGCTGAAAAAAGAATCAGTAAACTTGAAAATAGGCTAGTAGAAACTACCCAAACTGAAATATAAAGAGAAAAGAGATTTTCCCACCTGGAGAACATACAACAGCTGTGGCAGAAGTCCAGAAGAAGAGACAACAGAGAAGAAACATTTGAATGGCCAAGAACTTACCGAAATTAGTGATAAGACACTAAACTACAGAGTAACAATAAGAAACTCTGAAAACAGGCTGGGCATGGTGCCTCATGCCTATAATCCCAGCACTTTGGAAGGCTGAGGCGGGAGGATGGCTTGAGCCCAGGAGACCAGCCTGGGCAGCATAGGGAGACCTCATCCCTAAAAATAAACAAAAAAATCAGCCGGGAATGATGGCACATGCCTGTGGTCCCAGCTACTTGAGAAGCCTGGGCCCTGGGAGGACTGCTTGGGCCCTGGAGGTCGAGGCTGCAAAGAGCCGTGAGCGTCCCACTGCATTCCAGCCTGGATGACAGGGCAAGACCCTGTCTCAAAAAATAAAAGAAAAAGAAAAAAAGAAAAAGAAACTGAAAATGCCAAACAATACCAAAAAAGGGGGCTGGGCACGGTGGCTCATGCCTGTAATCCAACACTTTGGGAGGCCGAGACGGGCAGATCACAAGGTCAGGAGTTTGAGACCAGCCTGACCAACAGGGTGAAACCCCGTCTCTACTAAAAATACAAAAATTAGCCAGGTGTGGTGGTGCGTGCCTGTAATCCCAGCTACTCAGGAGGCTGAGGCAGGAGAATCACTTGAACCTGGGAGGTGGAGGTTGCAGTGAGCCGAGATCGCGCCAATGCACTCTAGCCTGGGTGACAGAGCAAGACTCTGTCTCAAAAAAAAAAAAAAAAAAAAAAAAAAAGGATATCTAGGCATATCATATTCAAACTGCTGAAAGCCAAAGGCTCTTGAAGGCAGTCAAAGAGGGGAAAATATGTTACATACAGAGGAATAAAGATATAAGATTATAATAAACTTACCATCAGAAACTTCGTAAGACAGTGGAGTGACAACTTTAAAGTGCTGAAAAGAAAACTGCCCATCCAGTATTCTACATCCAGTGAAAATATCCTTCATACGTACAAAATAAAGGCTTTCCTCCAGACAAGCAAAAATAGAGAATTCACTGCCAGGAGACCCATCCTATAAGAAATATTAACAGAAGTCCTTCAGGTAGAAAAATATATAAAAGTGAGAAGCTTGAATCTACAAAATGAAGAATAAATGAAGGTAAAGTATAATTTTTTTATTTTTCATTGCTCTAAAAGATAATTGCTTAAAGCAGTAACAATGTATTGGATAAGTACCCCACAGGTAAAAGTAAAACGCTTAACAACAATGGCAAAAGGGAAAAGAGGGAAGAACTGGGAACACACTATAACCATACTTTAACTAAATGCGAAGTGGCAAAACACCTGAAAAACTCAGGTTATTTTAAAATGTATAATGTAAACAAAAAAGCAACCACTAAAAACCTTTTTAAAGAAATCTAAGTGATAAGTCAATAAAGTAAAATGGAATTAAAAAAAAAATCACACCAAAGAAGGCAGTAGGAAAAAAACCACACAGGCGCATGCCTATAGTCCCAGCTACTCAGGAGGCTGAGGCAGCAGAATTATTTCAGTTCAGAAGTTTAAGACCAGCCTAGGCAACACGGCAAGACCTCTTCTCTACAAAAAAATAGAAAAATTAGCTAGGCATGGTGGCACACACCTATAGTCCCAGCTACTCAAGAGGTAGGAGGATCGCTTGAGCCCAAGAGTTTGAGACCAGCCTGGGCAACATAGTGAGACCCCATATCTACGAAAAATTTAAAAATTCACCAGGCATGGTGGTGTGCACCTGTAGTACCAGCTACTGGGGAGACCGAGGTGAGAGAATCACTTGAGCCCAGGAGGTCCAGGCTACAGTGAACCATAATTATGCCACTGTACTCCAGCCTGGGTGAGAGAGAGACCTTGTCTCAAAAAATAAAAAAAGAAACAAACAACAAATGCAACAAATAGAGAAGAGCTAGCAAGATGGTAGGTTTTCATCTAATTATACTAATAATCACTTTAAATGTAAATAGTCTTACCAGTTAAAAAACAGATTGTCAGACTGGGGGAGAAAAAAAAAAGCAAGACCAGGCCGGGTGTAATGGCTCACACCTGTAATCCCAGCACTTTGGGAGGCTGAGGCAGAAGGATCGCTTGAGCCCAGGAGCCCAAGACTACCCTGGGCAACATGGTGAAACCCTTTCTCTACAAAAATACAAAATATAGCTGGGCATGGTGGCATATGCCTGTAAGTCCAGCTACTTAGGACATTGAGGTGGGAGGATTGATTGAACCCAGGAGGTCAAGGCTGCAATGAGCCATGATCATGCTACTGTACTCCAACCAGGGTGACAGAGTGAGAACCTGTCTCAAAAAAAAAAAAAAAAAAGCAAGATCAAGCTATATTCGGTCCACAAGAAGCCTGCTAAGCAAAGATTTAAAGAGGAAAAAAATAAAACAATGGAGAAAAATATACCATACAAACACTAATTAATCAAAAGAAAGCTACTGTAGCCAAATGAATTGCAGACAAAGTAGATTTCAGAACAAGAAAGATTGTCAAGGATAAAGAGGAGTGATCTGGTTTGGCTCTGTGTCCCTACCCAAATCTCATCTTGAATTGTAATCCACACATGTCAAGGGAGGGACTTGGTGGGAGGCGACTGGATCACGGGGGTGGTTTCCCCCTGTTCTTGTGATAATGAGTTCTCATGAAATCTGATTGTTTAAAAGTATGTGACAGTTCCCCACCCCACTCCTGCTGCCATGTAAGACATGCCTTTCTTCCCCTTCACCTTCTGCGATGATTTTAAGTTTCCTGAGGCCTTCCCAGCCATGTGGGGCTGAGAGTCAAATTAAACCTCTTTTCTTTATAAACTACCCAGTCTCAGGTAGTTTTTTATAGCAGTGTGAAAATGGACTAACCCAGAAAATTGGTACCAGGAATGGGGTACTACTATAGATACCAGAAAATGTGGAGTGACTTTGGAACTGGGTAACAGACAGAGGCTGGAAAAGTTTGGAGGGCTCAGAAGAAGGCAGGAAGATGTGGGAAAGTTTGGAACTTCCTAGAGACTTGTTAGAAGATTTTTACCAAAGTGCTGATTGTGATATGGACAATGAATCCAGGCTGAAGTGGCCCAAGATGGAGATGAGAAACTTATTGTGAACTGGAGCAAAGGTCACTCTTGCTATGCCTTAGCAAACAGACTGGTGGCATTTTGTCCCTGCCCTAGAGATCTGCGGAACTTTGAACTTGAAAGACATGATTTAGAGTATCTGGCAGGAGAAATTTCTAAGCAGCAAAGCATTCAAGATGTGACCTGGCTTTTTCTGAAAGCGTACTGTCAGCCGGGGACAGTGGCTCATGCCTGTAATCCCGGCACTTTGGGAGGCCAAGGCAGGTGGATCACCTGACGTCAGAAGTTCGAGACCAATCTGGCCAATATGGTGAAACTCCGTTTCCACTAAAAATACAAAAATTAGCTGGGCATGGTGGCATACACCTGTAGTCCCAGCTTGGGAGGCTGAGGCAGGAGAATCACTTGAACTGGGAGGCAGAGGTTGCAGTGAGCCAAGATCGTGTCATTGCACTCCAGCCTGGGCAACAGAGTGAGACTCCCTCTCAAAATAATAATAATAATAATGAAAATGTTCATTGTATGTCATATGTGTTCACAAAGAGATAGTCTGAAATTGGAACTTATGTTTAAAAGGGAAGCAGAGCATAAAAGTTTGGAAAATTTGCAGCCTTACCATGTAGTAGAAAAGAAAAACCCATTTTCTGGGGGAGAAATTCAAGCTGCTGTTCTTGTGATAGTGAGTTCTCACAAGATCTGATGGTTTTACAGTGTGTGGCAGTTCTGCCCCCACTCCTGCCACCATGTAAGACGTGACTTACTTTCCCTTCTGCCATGATTATAAGTTTCCTGAGGCCTCCCCAGCCATGCGGCACTGTGAGTCAATTAAACCTCTTTTCTTTATAGATTACCCAGTCTCAGGTAGTTCTTTATAGCATTGTGAAAACAAACTAATACAAGGGGTATTATAATAGGGTCAGTTCCTAAGAAGACATAACAATTCTAAATGTGTATGTACCTTAAAACAAAGCTTCAAAATACATGAGGCAAAACTGATAGGTATGACAGAAAATAAAGACAAATTACAATTATAGTAGACTTTTATTAACAGTTAACCCTTAGTAATTGATAAACCAAGTAAGCAGATTGGCCAGGCATAGTGGCTCACCGTGGTAATCTCAGCACTTTAGGAGGCTGGGGTGGGCAGATCACTTGAGGCTAGGAGTTCAAGACCAGCCTGGCCTACATGGCAAAACCCTGTTTCTACCAAAACTACCAAAATTAGCTGGGCTTGGTGACATGCACCTGTAGTCCCAGCTACTCAGGAGACTGAGGCACGGGAATCACTGCAACTTGGGAGGTAGAAGTTGCAGTGAGCAGAGATCGTGCCACTGTATTCCAGCCTGGGTGATACAGCGAGACTTTGTCTAAAAAAAAACAAAACACACACACACACACACACACACACACGTAAGCAGATAGATGTGACCTCAACAGTTCAGTACTATCACCTAATTTGACCTGAGTGACATTTGTAGGGCACTCCACTGAACAACAGCTGAATATACATTCTTTTCAAGTACACATAGGACATTCACAAAGATATACCATATTCTGTGCCATAAAAGAAATCTTCAAGATAAATAAAAATACAAAGTACATTCTCAGACCATAATAGAATAAAACTAAAATCAATAACAAAATATATTAGGAAAGTGCCTCCAAATATGTGGATATTAAACAATACACTTCTAAATAACCCATGATTAAAAGATGAAGTCATAAGGAAATTTTAAAAATATTTGCAAGTATAGCAGGAAACAGAAGGGAAGTTTATCTACCTTAAAAAATACTTGCAAAGTAAACAAAAATACAACATTATCAAAATTTATGAAATGCAGCTAAAACAGTACTTAGAGGAAAATGTATAGTCTTAATTATATCTTATAAAAGAAGACCTAAAACCAACAACCTAGGCTTCTACCTTGGCACAGTAAAAAAAGAACAAATTATAACTAAAACAGAAGGAGGCCAGGTGTGGTGGCTCACGCCTATAATCCCAGCACTTTGGGAGGCTGAGGTGGGCAGATCACGAGGTCAGGAGATCGAGACCATCCCAGCTAACACAGTGAAACCCCATTTGTACTGAAAATACAAAAAAATTAGCCGGGCGTGGTGGCAGGTGCCTGTAGTCCCAGCTACTCAGGAGGCTGAGGCAGGAGAATGCCATGAACCTGGGAGGCGGAGCTTGCAGTGAGCCGAGATCGCACCACTGCACTCCAGCCTAGGAGACACAGCAAGACACCGTCTCAAAAAAAAAAGAAGGAAAAAATAATAAAAATTAGAGCAGAAATCAACAAAACTGACAAAAGAAACACAATGTAGAAAAACCAATGAAAGCAAAAGCTGGTTCTTTGAAAAGATTGATAAAATTGATAAACTTATAGCCAGGCTATCCAAGAAATAAACAAAGACATAAATTACCAATATCAGGAATGAAGGAGAAAGGACATCAATACTGATCCAATAGATGTTAAAAAAGAATAATAAAAGATATTACGAACACCTCTATGACCCTAAATTTGATAGCTTAGATAAAATAAACCAATTCCTTGAAATATGACATGAACTACAAAAAATATAGAAGGAAAAACAGATACCTAAATAACTCTATTGAAGAAAGTGAATTTGTAGTTTGAAACTTCCCAAAAAAGAAAACTCCAGACCCAGATGGTTTTAATGGTTAATTCGACCAACCATTTAAATAAGAAATAATAACAATTCTACTCTCTCTTGCAAAAAAGAGAAGGGAACATTTCCCAACTCATTTTATGAGACTAACATTACTCTAATACCAAAACAAAACAGACACTACCAAAAAAAAAAAAAAACAACTCTGCATGCAGACCAGTATCTCTAATGAACATATATGCAAAAACCTTTAACAAAATATTAGCAAATCAAATACAGCATTATATAAAAAGACAATGCATCTAGGCTAAGTAGGGTTTATCCCAGGGATGTAGGGCTGGTTCACATTCAAAAATCAATGTAGTTCACCATACTAAGAAACTAAATAAGAAAACCATGTGATCATAACAAAAAACGCAGAAAACACATTAGACTATTCCAATATCTATTTACGATAAATACTCCCAACAAAGACAGATGGGAACTCCCTTAGTTTAATAAGGATATCTACCAAAAATCTACAAAATCTAGTAATGTATAAAAAGCTAAAAAATCGAGAAGGAATAATATTATAGGTGGAAAAACACTGCCATGATTTCAGGAGTGAATGGAATTACAGAAAGAAACATACAAAGTATGGACTAGTCTTCATCTGGCATCCACACAGACAGGGATCTTTTGGGTAAAACTGGGAAAAATAATTAAATGTTTGAAACCTACAAATCCTAGGTATATGATACATATGCAAGAATAAATTCTAACAATGCCCAACATTCGGTGTTTTTTTTCTTACCTTTGTTTTCAGGAACGTACAAATTAAATCCAGAGTTTGCATTGGTAGTTTTTGCCTTGTCTTCCCTGCCTCTCCCATCTTCTCTCACCATTCCTGAACGGTAACCGCAAGAAAGGTGCTAGGTCATTCTGCCTTGATTCTAACACTATTTCTGCATCTTTTCATCTGAAATCCAAAATCTGGTCTAGGCAGGCAGCTGATGGAGAACTGAATCCTTTATTTTAGTTTTCTAACTTAACTGCTGGACTAGTAAGAATGAAAACTCTTTACTCTCAAAATACTTCCTTCTTTGATGCTACCTGTGACCCAAAAATTAGACTCCTTTGTTATTCCAAAGAAATATCCTGTTCCTTTTTGAAAATAAAATTTAAAAGGTGAAAGAGGGAAAGGATGTCTATAAGGGTCAGTATATCTAGAGGACAATCTGTCTGAAAAGCACATCTAGATTATGAATCCTAGCCTATTAAGAATGTTCAGCCAGGGCAACATGGTGAAACCCTGTCTCTACAAAACACAAAAATTAGGTGGGTGTGGTGGTGTATCCCTGTAGTCCCAGCTACTCAGGAGGCTGAGGAGGAGGATCACTAGATCCCAGGCGATGGAAGCTGCAGTTGGCTGAGATCACACCACTGCACTCTGGCCTCGGCAACAGAGCAAGTCCCTGTCACACTCACACACACACACACACACACACACACACAATGCTAGAACTACTTCCATAATGGGCCAGGCCTGAAGTCTCATAATTAATATAGATGAGGATTTTAAATATGAACCAATAAGCAAGCCAACTGAGCAATCAATAGAAGAAAAAAAGGAGGAAAGGGGTGAGATATTCTGAGGGAAAAGTACAAATAATCTATAAATATCTCCATGTCTACAGACATTCCCAACTACCCTAAATATTACTTTTTTACTCCCATGAGTATACTTATCTCAAAATGAAGGTGAGGAAAGGCATCCAGCTTTCCTCAGAAGTCTATAATTTTCAAATGCTTTTTGAAATAAAGATACATAAATAAATACTATCATTGAAGTATATAAATCAGATATATACTATCAAAACAAATAGTTAATAACCATTGGCGAGAAGGAAAGAGGCCCCATGAAACTGAAACACACTGCATTAGACAATTCAGTTAACCCTCACTGATGTAGAAGTACCTGAGAAAAGGGTTGTGACAACTTCAGGAGTTGATAATAGAATGTCCCCAAAGAGCCTAAGTGTCTGTGATGGCAAGTCATGAAATATCAGGTAAAATACCCTGAAATTCCATCTAATCTCACCCCCAATAGAAAAATATCATGTCGAGACAAGTCTGGGCAACACAGGGAGACCCTGTCTCTACAAAAAAAAATTTTTAAGTGGCCAGATGTGGTGGCATGCACCTGTGGTCCCAGCTGCTCAAGAGGCTGAGGTGCGAGGATTGTTTGAGCTGGAGAGGTACAGGCTGCAGTGAGCCGTGTTCACATCACTGCACTTCAACCTGGGCAACAGAGTGAGACTCTGTCTCAAAAAAATAAAAAGAAAAAACAAAAGAAAAACATCAAACATCATGTGACATATGTGGGGGCAAAAAAAAAAGGTCAGTGTCTCACAAATACTTTAGTATTTGGCAGCCAAAAGGCGTTGGGGGAAAAATTCTCTTTTGGGCTGGGCATGGTGACTCACTACTGTAATCCCAGCACTTTGGGAGGCCAAGGCAGGCAGATCACTTTAGCTGGGCATAGTGGCACATGCCTATAGTCCCAGCTTCTCAGGAGGCTGAGGTGGGAGGATCCACTGAACCCAAGAGATAGAGGCTGCAGGGAGCTATTATCACACTACTTATAGAAGTGAAACCTTAGCCATGTTTTTCAGATTTTAAAAACATCTCCCATTTATGCTTTCTCCTTCACTGCAGGTCATTTGAAATGGTTTCGAAGGTAACACATACTTTATGCTTTGCTACACTGAAAATTTATTCAACAGTTCTATTCTTAAAGTTATTTCTTTCTTGTGCTTCTATTTTATAAGGAGCAACATTTTTCCAACCACCTACTAAGGGAATTTGTGATTTAGCAACATCTTTTACCAACCAGTCATTCACACTCAAAACAAATCTTTCTCTTGACCTCCTGGTTTTATAACACATTACTAACCCAGTAATAGGAAATCCAAGAGTTAAAACAAAAATAAGAAAAATATAATCAAGTTCAGTAGACATTTATGACTTTGAAGAATGCTGGCCAGGCATAGTGGCTCAAGCCCATAATCCCAGCACTTTGGGATGCTGAGGCAGGAGGATCACTTGAGCCCAGAAGTTCAAGACCAGTCTGTGCAACATAGCAAGACCTCAATCTCTACTAAAAAAAAAAAAAAAAAAAAAAAAAAAGGGCAGGAGGATTGCTTGAGCCCAGGAGTTCTGGCCTGCAGTGAGCTATGATCACACCACTGTACCTCATCCTGGGTAACAGAGCAAGATCCTGTCATTCATTCATTCATACATACATACATACATACATAATTTTGAAAAAAGAATGCTGTCTCCTCGGTCATGAAAATTGTTTTATTAAACTTCCTATGTTTACTGTAATCAGATGTAGCCAAAGAAACAGGACCTTACAAAAGTAGGTAACTAAAAAAAACATGTAGTTACAGTGCCTTGGCTCAAGCAGATGCTGAATAAATGTAATGTGAACCAATGAGCAAGCAAACATGTGACTACGGAATAAGAGTGAGTTACATTAAAGTCAGAAATATGGTCAAGTTAGAGTGTCCAGTGAAGTGATAATAATTCAGAGATTTGTTTCACAGATTGTATTTTATTTAAGCATACTTACTCCCTGACTTTTAAAAACTGTTTAAGTCATATGCTCCTAATAGTGCTTAAAAATCTATTGCAAGAAGTTAGTTCTCCAAGTACATACAATGTACTCTTCTTAAGTTTGGCTTCATTCATTAAACCGAATTATTTTGAGGTCCATCTAGGTTGTTGAGAGTATCAACTGTTCTTTTTATTGCCGAGTAGTATTCCATTGTATAAATACACCAAATTTGTTTATCCATACACTTGATGGATATGGGAGCTGTTTACAGTTTTTAGCTATTACCAATAAATAATAGCTGCTGTGAATGTTTGTGTACAAGTCTTTTTTGTGGATATACAGTTTCATTTCTCTTGAATAATTAGAAATGGAATGGATGAATCGTATGGCATCTTCACATTTACTTTGAAAGAAACTGCCCAATTGTCTTCCAAAGTAGTTGATCCATTTCACATTCCTATCGTCAGTGTATGAGAGTTCCAGATGATCCTCCATTCTTGTCACCATGTGACTAATCCTATTCATTACAGCCATTCTAGGGAGTATGCAGTGGTATCTCATTATGGTTTAAATTTATATTTCCCTAATGACTTACGACTTTGGGCATCTTTTCATGTGCTTATTTGCCATTTATATTCTTTGATGAACTTTATTCAAATTGTTTCCCCCTTTTCTTATGGGGTTGTCTTTCAATTCTTGAGTTACAATTCTTTATATCTTCTAGATACACATCCTCTGTCAGACACACGTTCTGCAAATATTTTCTCCCAGCCCAAGGCGTACTTTTTCATTTTCTTAAAGGTATCTTTCAAAGATTAAAAGTTTTTAACTTGGATGAAATCCAATTTAGCGATTTTTTCCCCTTTATACTTCATGCTTTTTGTGTCTTAAGAAATCTTTGCCTACCCCAAGGTCACTAAGATTTTCTCCTGTATTTTCTTTCTGACAAAAACTTTCTGGAGTTGCATGGTTTTAGCTCTTCAAGTTAGGCCTATGATTTATTTGAAGGTAGCTTTTGTGTCTGGTGTGAGGTAAGGGTTGAGGTTCTTTGTGTGCGTATGAATCTCCAATTGTTCTAGGACCATCTGTTGAAAAGAGTGAATATACACAGGATAAAAATAACTCCACTTCCATTCTATTTAACCCCTTCTCCTATAATAAGTCCCCTAGCTTAGATTATATGAGCCATCATTATAAACATTCCCTTGCACACCCTTAGCTTCCTTGGCCTCCTTTCCTCAAACAACTGGCAAAACCCCAATCCTGCCAATCTAACTCTGATTCCATACCTGAACCCTTATAGTTGAAAGTACACTGTGCAGTTGAAAGTACAAGAAAATACACAAATCCGTGCCAACCAATGAAACTTTAAATTCATGTCCACTAACCTCAAATGAGCATTTGATTCTATTCTGTAATCTGACTATGTTTCTCTAGTCTATTCACTCCCATATTCTCATGAAGGACTATTTCACACTTAACTCTTCAAATCTAATACTCCCTCCCCCACCTTCATTCCTCTTATGACCTGACTTCCTACATCATTGAAACATTCTGCTACTATGGCTCGCTCCTCTACTAATTGTTGGTCCTTGAGCAAATTACTTGATTTCCAAAATGGAGATAAAAATATTGCCCATTCTACAGTCTTATTGTAAAGAATAAATGACACAATATGCACATGGAAAACACTTAATATACAGCCTGGCACAAAAGAATACTAAGAGCTACTATAACTTTTTCTTACTGCTACTACTACTATTAAACATGTACCACATCATGATCATAAATTTAACAGAGCAAGATTTAATAAGGATTAGACTAGTGCATTTATTTGTAAGTATCTCTATATCGGCTGGGTGCAGAGGCTCACACCTGTAATCCCAACACTTTGGGAGGCCAAGGTGGGCAGATCACCTGAGGTCAGGAGTTCGAGACCAGCCTGGCCAACATGGTGAAACTCCACCTCTACTAAAAATACAAAAAGCTGGGCCTGGTGACTCATGCCTGTAATCCCAGCTACTTGGGAGGCTGAGGCATGAGAATCGCTTGAACCCAGGAGGCGGATGTTGCAGTGAGCTGAGATTGCATGCCACTGCACTCCAACCTGGGCAACAGAGCGAGACTCCATCTCAAAAAAAAAAAAAAGTATCTCGGCCAGGCACGGTGGCTCACGCCTGTAACCCCAGCACTTCGGGAGGCTGAGGAGGGAGGATCATGAGGTCAGGAGATCGAGACCATCCTGGCTAACACAGTGAAACCCCCTCTCAACTAAAAAAATACAAAAAATTAGCCGGGGGTGGTGGCGGGCACCTGTAGTCCCAGCTACTCAGGAGGCTGAGGCAGGAGAATGGCACGAAGCTGGGAGGCAGAGCTTGCAGTGAGCCAAGATCACACCACCGCACTACAGCTTGGGCAACAGAGCGAGACTCCATCTCAAAAAAAAATAAAAAATAAAAAAAGTATCTCTACATACACACACACATACATATATACACCCATGTATATATATGTATGTGTGTGCATCCACTGAAGGGGATTACATTTAATTCAAGATTATAAATTATATTTCTTTTTTTTTTTACTTTTTGTGCATAATTTTTTAAAAACTTTTATTTTAGATTCAGGATTACATGAGCAGATTTGTTGTGAATTCTATTTCAATTAACATTTAGATTAGGTATCATTTGAAAACTGTTAGTATTTTACCAACATTCTGCATTTCTTTCTTAAGATACAAAGTCTGTAGGAGTCTAATTCCTGATAGAAAAAAAAATGTGGAAGGATACTACCACCTCCATCAATTCATGTTCTTCTACTTATACTGTTCAAATATGGAATGTCCTATTCTCCTCTGTCCTTTCAAACAATTCAACTAAACAAATGTTTAAGTGCCTTAAAAAGGCAAGACATTATACTATTTCAGCTGGGTCAATAAAAATTAGAAAAGAATCTTAGTTTTTTTCTCTATGCTTTCCTGAAACCAGAAGAGAGATTATTTTATACCCAACACACTGATGTTAACAGTATCTATTTCTGCCAGACCTAAGACATAGATGTTTAATTTCACATTCTGTCTTCCTATCAGAGTCCCTTCTGTGAAATAACTTGCATCCAAAATATTAGAATTTGCTGCTGAGATCAGGCAAAGGCTTAATCTCTGAAAAGCATTCATAGAAGATTAAACCAGTGAATTTACAACCTGTTCAACAGTGGGGCTTCTCTGAGTTTTTCTCCCCAAGCAAGCTATACAACAGTTTTCCAAACAATAGTTGCCGAGACCAGCTCGGTGGGGGAGACCCTAACCCAGTGGAGCTAGAGGAATTAAAGACACACACACACAGAAATAGAGAGGTGTGAAGTGGAAAATCAGGGGTCTCACAGCCTTCAGAGCCGAGAGCCCCGAACAGAGATTTAGCCATGTATTTATTAACAGCAAACCAGTCATTAGCATTGTTTCCACAGATACTAGACTAACTAAAAGTATCCCTTATGGGAAACGAAGGGATGGGCCGAAATAAAGGGATGGGTTGGGCTAGTTATCTGCAGCAGGAGCATGTCCTTAAGACACAGATCGCTCATGCTATTGTTTGTGGTTTAAGAATGCCTTTAAGCGGTTTTCTGCCTTGGGTGGGCCAGGTGTTCCTTGCCCTCATTCCAGTAAACCCACAACCTTCCAGCGTGGGCATTATGGCCATCATGAACATGTCACAGTGCTGCAGAGATTTTGTTTATGGCCAGTTTTGGGGCCAGTTTATGGCCAGATTTTGGGGGGCCTATTCCCAACAAATAGTCATAATGCATTCATTCCCAGGATCACTACTCAGAAGCACATAAATAAATCAGTACACAGCCAGAGTCATCCAAACATGTTTTGACAGATCCAGGCCAACCAATTGCAAAGCTTCTGAATATGCACACCCTACAGGCCTATGTAGCACCAGCCTTTGGCTCCAGTGTATACTCCTTTCCTTCCTGTAGGCTTAGTTCTAGCTTTTGAGGAAAGAAAAATAAAGCTGTCAGTTGAGTGGATCAAACTTCCAGCAAGATAAAAAGACAAAGACTATCACATAAATCCCTTCAAAAAAAATCTGCTTAGTAAAAAGGCAAGCAACTTAGTTATTAAAGACAATGTAACAAAAATTCAGTCTATTTTAATTTTCAAAGATGGAAAAAATAAGAAAATATTCAGATATGCTATCTTAATCAAATTATAAACCACAAACATTAGGACGGCTACTATCAGGAAAGCAGAAAGTTTAGTGTTGGTAATGATGTGCAGAAATTGGAATCTTTGTGCATTGTTGATGGGAATGTAAAATGGTACAGCCACTGTGGAAAACAGTATGGTGGTTCCCAGAAAATTAAAATTAGAATTATCACCTAATCTAGCAATTCTACTTCTGGGTACATATACAAAAGAGTTCAAAGCAAGGCCTCGAAGAGATACCTATACACCCTCACAGCAGTATAGATGAATAGGCAAAATGCAGCATATACATACCATGGAATGTTATTCAGCCTTCAAAAGGAAAAAAATTGCCAGGCGTGGTGGCTCACGCCCATAATCCCAGCACTTTGGGAGGCTGAGGCAGGAGGATTGCTTAAGCTAAGGAGTTCAAGACCAGCCTGGGCAACATAATGAGACCTTGTCTCCACTAAAAATTCAAAAAAAATTAGCCGGGTGTGGTTGCACATGCCTGTAGTCCCAGCTACTTGTGAGGCTGAGGCAGGAGGATTGTTTGAACCTGGAAAGTCAAGGCTGCAGTGAGCCCTGATTGTGCCACTGTACTCCAACCTGGGCAACAGCGTGAGACCCTGTCTGAAAAAAGAAAAAACAAAGTGGTGACCAGGTGCAGTGGCTCATGCCTGTAACCTCAACACTTTGGGAGGCTGAGGTAGGTGGATCATTTGAGGTCAGGAATTTGAGACCAGCCTGGCCTAAATGGTGAGACATTGTCTCTACTCAAAATACAAAAATTAGTTGGATGTGGTGGCATGTGCCTGTAATCCCAGCTACTCAGGAGTCCAAGGTAGGAGAATTGCTTGAACCCGGGAGGCAGAGGTTGCAGTGAGCCAAGCTCATGCCACTGCACTCCAGCCTGGGTGACAGAACGAGACACCGTCTCAAAAAAAAAAAAAAAAAAAAAAAAAGGAAGAAAATTCTGCAGTATACAACAACGAAGATGAACCTTTAGATGAACCTTGAGGACAGACATAAAATAAGCCAATCACAAAGAGATAAATAGTTTTGGTTTTACAAGACAAAAAGAGCTATAGAGATGGCTGGTCCTGATGGTTACACATTATGAATGTATTTAATACCATTCAACCGTACCCTTAAAAATGGTTGAGATGGTAAATTTTCTGTTACGTGTTACCACAATTTTAAAAACTGAAGAAAAGAGTTTTTTAAAAAATCATAAACCGGCTAGCATAAAGAACAATACAGCTCAAGGCCAAACAATGCCTATTTTGTTTATAATTTTTAACTTTCTGTCGATGTTGACTCTATTAAATGATGTATTTCTGAGTAGTGAGGTAATTTTGGTCTTAACATTTTATAAAATTCTAGAATAAAAATAGAAGGCTTATGGGAAGAGAGGAGATTGTTGGGTAGGAGGAGTATATTATTAACCACTCCAAGTGTCAATTAATAATGCATCCTTAATTATTTGCCAACACACAAGAAACATGGGCAAGGAAACAGCATTTCTGGGAAGCACTACAACTACTGATTCAATCATTCATGAAGTATTTTTCAGTACCTATTCTTTGGTTAAAACTGGGGTATAGTGAGCTATGATTGTGCCACTGCACTCTAGCCTGGGCAACAGAGCAAGACCTTGTTGCTCAAAAAAGAAAAGAAAAAAAAGAAACACCAAAAAACTGTAGTATACACTGCAGTACATAAACAAATACAAAAATCTAAAGGATAGGGATAGTACCTGTAAGCATACCCCTATGACAAATCAGTTCCTACATATGTATTTACTTGTATCTTAAGAATAAAATGGCTGGGGATGATGGCTCATACCTGTAATTCCAGCCCTTTAGAAGGTAAAGGCAAGAGGATTGCTTGAGCCCAGGAGTTCAAGACCAGCCTACGGAACAGTGAGGCCCTGCCTCCACAAAAAAATAAACTTAAAAAATTAGCCAGCCATGGTGGCACATACCTGTAGTCCTAGTTACTCAGGAGGCTAAGGCAGGAGGATTGCTTGAGCCCAGGAGGTCTAGGCTGCAGTGAGCTATGATTGAGCCACTGCATTCCAGCCTGGGCAACAGAGTGAATATGCACACCCCACCTCAAAAAAAAAAAAAAAATCAATAAAATAATATCAAACTAAACAAAATAAGAGGATATATCTAAATCTAAGCAATCCATTATCTCCTCTTTTTGGCTGTCATCAAAACATACCTGAAGATTGATACATCTAAAACCTAAATCATGATCTTCCCCCAAAAAAACAAAACAAAACAAAACAAAACCTGTCTTCCTTCAGTATTCCTTTTGTCAGTGAAGAGCACTAAGTTAAATCAGAAATGTAGGACTCCTCTCTTCTCCACTTCATATTCTACCCATCATCAAGTTCTGCTGACTATATCTCCTAAATATTCTTGAATGAATGCCTTTCTATCCTCTTTACCAGCACAACTCTGTCTAAATGAGCCACCATTACCTATCACATGGACAACTAAATTCCTAACCAATACCCCTACATCCACTCTGGTACCCCTTCAAGCCATTCTTTGCATTTCAGTCGAGTGTTCTTATCAAAAAAGCACATCTGCTGGGTGTGGTGGCTCACATCCCAGCACTTTGGGAGGCTGAGGTAGGTGGATCACTTGAGGTCCTGAGTTCGAGACCAGCCTGGCCAACATGGTGAAACCCTGTCTCTACCCAAAATACAAAAATTAGCCTGGTGTCGTGGCACACAACTGTAATCCCAGCTACTTAGGAGGCTAAGACAGCAGAATCGCTCAAACCTGGGAGGCGGAAGGGTGAGGCAAGATCACGCCACCACACTTCAGCGTGGGCAACACAGTGAGACTCTGTGTCAAAAAAAAAAGAAAAAAAAAAAGAAAATCTGACTATGTCCTTTCTTGCTTAAAAACCCTTTAATGGCTACTTACTCCTCTTAGTATACTTAGAAAAACGGCAAAAACTTCTTAACATGACCTATAAAAACCTAATAAGGACAGGCCTCTCTCTTCACCTCAAACCATGATCTTTTTCTCTCTAACTCTCACTGTTCAAGCCATGCTAGCCTTAATTAGGTCCTTCATTTCACCATTCTCCCTTCTACCACAGGGCCTCTGCACTTGCTATTTCTTCTGTCTGGACAACCATCTCCCATCTATCCTTTCTTTGCCAAGTTAACATCTACTCCTCCTTCAGATCATAGCACAAGTATCATTTCTTGAGGATGCCTTCTCTAATCTGGTCAAATCTCACTAATGTAAGTGTTACCCAATACCTACTCTTATGCCACTGTCACAGGTGCAATTTAAACACTTAATTTGACATTTCTGTCTTCTCCACCAGACCCTAAGTTCCATGGGGGAAGGGTATCACATCAGTTTTTGCCCCACATAATATCCTGTTGCCTAGGTGGCCCAATAAAAATGTGTTGCATGAATGAACAAATGCATGAACCATGCTCAAAAATCATGAGATATGGTCCAGACTGCCTAAGTCAAAGTTCAGTTGCCAGCAATCACAAAACATTCACCACTAGGTCAAACTCCTATCACCATGATCTTCACTATACTAAATTTTCTTTGGCAAGGTCCTTTTAGCTAAGATAATGAAGTTTACTTATGACAGGCCTTCTTCTGGTGGCTTCCTATTTACATGAAGAAACCATCAAAAACTCAAACTCCATTGAATAAAATAAAGCAATCTAAGAATGTCTGATTGTAGCTTTCATAACAAAACTATAAATTAGTTTTTTGAGTTTTTCTTAACACCTCATTGAGTTTTTCTTAATACCTCGTTTTCTTAATACTTCATGTCAAGTCCCAAAGCAAAGACAAATCATTCCTTGTTTGTCTTGAAATCTGAACCTCTTACTCAACTTATCCCAAGATAAACCACTGAAAATAAAACTCTACCAAAAAATAACATTTAAAGAAGTTAAAGTCTCTAGACACTTAAAAAATCAAAAGAAAAAAAAAACTCAGCAGAAAAAGGAGAAGAAATGAGGGCAATGTTTGGATGAAAAACTCTCTTTGACCACACAAAACAAGAAACACATCTTCCCCATGAATTCTGGCAAGGTCAACTCTCAGCCTCATTCACAAAATTCTTGGATAGCTTCCTTGGCCTAAAAACAACAACAACAACAAAAACCCCACATGACTTCACAGTGACTATTCTAAAGCCTGAGTATGGATATGGTTGCCTAGGAATATTGCCCATTTCGATGGTAAGCAAACAGTTCTCAGTGATGTTTCAAAAATTTTTCTTAAGTCATAAAAATAGTAGATATTATAATTCATTTTTAAAAAGGTAAATGAATGGAAAATGTAAGATCCTGTTTTAAACAGAAGCTGCAGTATCAGAAATTAGAGATTTAGGAAAAGACAAACATTTCTAGAGAAGTAATGAGAGTTAAAGAAAACACTGGTCCTTCAGATTCCAAAATGGCCAAATGACTCAGCAAGAAAGTTTAGTAATACTATACCAATGTCAATTTCCTGGTTTCGATATTATACTACAGTTACATAAGATGCCACCACTGGGGGAAGCTAGGGGAAGGATTCAAGGGACTCTATGCTATTTTTGCAACTTTCCGTGAATCTACAATCATTTCAAAATAAAGTTTTAAAAAAATATTAGTGGGGAATATTCAGGATAATACAACTGTAATTTTAAGTAGCGTGTGGCACTTTCCCAAGCACTGAGTCATTCTAGTGAATTTCTGAACCTGAATGGATCGTGAGAACTCCTGGATAGGTAGCCAGTGGTCAGGAGCACAGGTAGCGAAGGGACCTCCAAATTTGTGGCTGGTGTCTTAAGTGAGGATAGTCTTCTGGGGACTGTGACCTTAACCTATGAAGTCTATGTTAACTCCCAGTAGTGTCAGAATTCCATTGCAACAACTTCTAGGTAATCTACTATCAGTATTTCTTTTTTCAAAAACACTGCTCTAGGATCTACAATTCAGGTTTTCTAAGTCCCAAATTCAAAACTATGAATCAACGAATAATGCATTAAATGTCAAACAGTATTTCAAACATGTATGAGCAACGAAAAACAACAGCTAAGAAAGTTAAGAATTGGTTCTCAAAATAAAACAATGTTATACAACGTCATGAATTTCTCCAATAAAGATTAAGTGGCCTTGGGCTTTCAAGTTTTAACTCTGGTCCAATCTCCAGTGAAATTATCTAACTTTCCTCCTCAACTAGCTGATTCACTAAATTAGCAAAACATGTAGATGAGGTACTTCTGTCTCTAAGTCAAGAAATTCTTTTAGGGAGTCTAAAAAGAAGAGTAAATATGTTGTGCCTAACCCCTATTAACCTCAATAGGGATGGCACCAGGTTCAAGAGGCCAAAGAAGAGACCCAGAACCAGCAAACGAGACATGGGATTTTTTTTTTTGAGACGTAATCTTGCTCCCTCACCCACACTGGGGTGTAATGGCATGATCTCAGCTCACTGCAACCTCTGCCTCCCAGGTTCAGGCAATCCCCCTGCCTCACCCTCCCAAGTAGCTGGGACTACAGGCATACACCACCAAACCCGGTTAATTTTTTTTGTATTTTTAGTAGAGGGGGGATTTCACTATGTTGGTCGGGCTGGTCTCGAACTCCTGACCTCAAGTGATCCACCCACCTCAGCCTCCCAAAATGCTGGGATTACAGGCATGAGCCACCACGCCCAGACAAAACATGGGATTTTATTAGGGGCTTACCTACAGGGAAGAGAGTCCAGTAGCGGTGGGGTGGACAGAAGAACCTCCTTACATACAGCCCAGTGGCAGCAGACTGGACAAGACATCCACCTTAACTACAGTCCAGTGATGGCAGGCTGGACAACATATCTATACTGCCCAGTGGCAACGGACTGCCTAATTGTGAACAAAACATACAGGAAGCAGAAAGAATCAATAATTAAAGAGAAAAGCTACTATGAAACTACTGTTCTTCATAGATTTAGATACCTCTTTTTATATACCACCTTGTATTTGTATAGTACTTTGTAATGTCCAAGTACTTTTTTTTTAATATTTTTTTTTCTTTTTGAGACGGAGTCTCGCTCTGTCACACAGGCTGGAGTGCAGTGGTGCGATCTCAGCTCACTGCAAGCTCCGCCTCCCGGGTTCACACCATTCTCCTGCCTCAGCCTCCTGAGTAGCTGGGACTACAGGCACCCGCCACTAAGCCTGGCTAATTTTTTGTATTTTTTTAGTAGAGACAGGGTTTCACCTTGTTAGCCAGGATGGTCTCGATCTCCTGATGTCATGAGCCGCCCGCCTCAGCCTCCCAAAGTGCTGGGATTACAGGCGTGAGCCACTGCGCCCAGCCATGTCCAAGTAACTGTTAACACATTATCTCAATTGATCCTCACAATAATCCTGTGAGGTACTTGATGTTATTTCACATTTTACAGATGAGAAAAATGACCCTAAATGGCATGCTGAAGGTCACACAGCCAGCAGGCAGAAAAGCTGGAACTTACACTCTTGACTACTCTACCACAGGTGTCCCTCTAAACAAAGGGAAGTTTTACAATGCTAACACAACTTTCTGAACACCATCCTTTTCACATTTTACAGATAAGAAAAATGAGCCTAAATGGCATGCTCAAGGTCACACAGCCAGCAGGCAGAAAAACTGGAACTTACACTCTTGACTATTCTACCACATGTGTCCCTCTAAATGAAGGGAAGTTTTACAATGCTAACACAACTTTCTGAACACCATCCTCCATATCGCAGCACACTACTAAACAGCTTCAAGACACACGAAAAAATTAGAATCAGTCACAGAATTACAGGAACCTTAAGGATCATTTCTACTATAATTTCCCATTTTACATTTTTGGTTTTTTTTGAGACAGTGTCACTCTGTCACTCAGGCTGGAGTGCACTGGCACAATCTCAGCTCACTGCAACCTCTGCCTCCTGGACTCTAGTCATCCTCCCACCTCAGCCTCCTGAGTAGCTAGAACCACAGGTGCATGCCACCACGTCCAGCTAATTTTTTGTATTTTTGGTAGAGACAGGGTTTTGTCAGGTTGCCCAGGCTGGTCTCAAGCTCGTGAGCTCAAGCAATCCACCCACCTCAGCCTCCCAAAGTGCTGGAATTACAGGCATGAGCCACCACACATGGCCATTATTTTTTCTTATAAAATGTTTTCTATACTCAGGATCAAAAAAAATTTTTTTCAGGGTCCTCACATTTAACATCTGCAAGCATGTAGGAAGATCAAGAAGCTGAGAAAATAAAAGGATTAAAACATACAAAACCTGAATATGTTTTGCCTGACTTCCCCTTGGTCCCCAACATATTTGTTGGAAAAAACACTTTCTTATTCATAGGCATAGGTCAAATTTAAGATTTCTTCTGATAGCTTTAATAACTTTTCATTTTAAATAAGTGATTACCTTAGATTATCTACAAAACGTGTTTTCTGTTATTGCTTCTCAAACTGTTGAAGCAATTAATATAAACATAGTATATGGTAAACTAATAGAAAAATAACATGAAGGAACAAAAAGAATCTTGTAGGCCATAGCTAAAAATTTTCAAGATTTTGACTGCTCATAGTATAATTTCCTTCATTTTGACATAAACATTGCAAAATTCTCAATCTAGTCCAATAACCACATGTAAATCTTACTCAAGGAGAAAAAGGTGGTATCTCAAAGTCACATTCCTTTTCACTATAGAAACATTTTTTAAATATGTACAGGTTTTTATTGCTTAAACTTATTTAAGCACGTAAGTCACTATGAAGCAAATATAGAAACAAATGATTTAAGTATGAGATAAACCATAAAAAATGAATTCAGGCTGGGTGTGATAGCTCACGCGTTATCCCAGCACTTTGTTTTGGGAGGCTGAGGCAGGAGGATCACTTGAGGCCAGGAGTTTGAGAACAGCCTGGGCAACATAGCAAGACCCCATCTCTATGAAGAATACAACAATTAGGTGGGCATGGTGGCATGACCCTATAGTCCCAGGTACTTGGGAGGCTGAGGTGGGAGGATTGCTTGAGCCTGGCAAGCCGAGGCTGCAGTGAGCCATGATCTCACCACTGCACTCCAGCCTCAGCAACAGAGAGAAACCCTGTCTCAAAACACACACACATACACACACACACACACACACACACACACACACACATACACACGTATATACATGAATTCATGGTCTAGGAAATTTACCTTTTGACTTTTTTGTTCTAATTTGATACTGCTTCCCTTCTGTTCTCTGCCTAAAAAATAAACATATCTAGGACTCTGCTCAATTTAATTTTTCCCTCTTCATAGTGCCTGACATGGTGCTCAATAAATATATGTTTAAACTTAAAAATTTCCCACTAATCACTAGCATACCATAATCCAGCCTCCATGACTAGGAAGCTACATGGCAACTTATCTCACTACATCAGATAATTTTTGATCTATCAATCGCCAATGATAACTGAAAAAACCTGTTTTGGGCACCAAAGCAAGGGTTTCAGGACATAAAGCAAAGAAGAAAATAATTACTGATAGTTTATTTAATCTAACACAAATATTCAAAAACTTTAAAAATACATATGTTAAAGCGTTCAATATTTTCCACCCTCTACCCTCAGGAATCAACTACTCCTTACTAAGAACCACCTACATATAAAAATAGATGTTTCATACCTCAGTGTCAAAATTGAACTCAATAAAATATTAAGTGAGTGGAATTTTTTTTTTTAATAGAGATGAGGTCTCTATTGCCCAGGCTGGTCTCAAACTCCTGAGCTCCAGCAGTCCTCCCACCTCAGCCTCCCAAAGTGCTGGGATTACAGGCATGAGCCACTGCGCCCAGCCCGTGAGTGGAAATTTGTCCACAATATATTATGACGTGTACGGGGGAGATGCGGTGGGGGGAAACGGGTAATAGTACATACATTACTATCAAGATACAAATATGTGTATATGTTTGCACCTGAGTCTACAGTGTACATCAAAATGTTAACATTGATTACCACTGAAAATTATCAGAGAAATTATAACTTTCTGAATTATACTTATCTAAGCATTTTCTATAACAAACACATTATTATTTTTTTTTTTTTGAGATGGAGTCTCGCCCTGTCACCCAGGCTGGAGTGCAATGGTGCGATCTCAGCTCACTGCTACCTCTGCCTCCCCTGTTCAAAGGATTCTCCTGCCTCAGCCTCCAGAGTAGCTGGAATTACAGGTGCCCGCCACCACACCCAGCTAATTCTTGTATTTTTAGTAGAGATGGCGTTTCACCACGTTGGCCAGCCTGGTCTCGGATTCCTGACTTTGTGATCTGCCCACCTTGACCTTCCAAAGTACTGGGATTACAGGCGTGAGCCACCATGCCCAGCCACTTTTACAATCCAAAGACAATAAAACATTTACTCCACTAACCTAGGAATGTGTGGACTATTCAGGATTTGAACAAGCATGCTCTTCCAACCATCTTTGTTTTCACATGAAGTAACTAACATAAGGGGGACAAAATAAAACAAATGTGGTTACTATGGGACTAAGACCTGCATGATATTCCTTTGGTGCTCTGAGAAGTTGGAAGGGGAGTGAAGGTAAGCAGAAACACAAAATAATTATTAAAGAATTATTACTTACGGTGGCCGGGCGCAGTGGCTCACACCTGTAATTCCAGCACTTTGGGAGGCCGAGGCGGGCGGATCATGAGGTCAGGAGATCAAGACCATCCTGGCCAACATGGTGGAACCCCATCTCTACTAAAAATACAAAAATTTAGCTGGGTGTGGTGGCGTGCACCTGTAGTCCCAGCTACTTGGGAGGCTGAGGCAGGAGAATCGCTCGAACCTAGGAGGCAGAGGTTTCAGTGAGCCGAGATCGCACCACTGCACTCCAGCCTGGCGACAGAGCAAGACTCCATCTCAAAAAAACAACAACAAAAAAAGAATTATTACTTATGGCAAGAACCTTTCAAGTGATTTATAATCTCATTGTTAAAACAAGACTTTAAATATAATTAAGATAACCCTATTAAAAAACAGAGAAAGAATTCAAATAAACATTTCTCCAAAGAAAATATCCAAATGGCCAAAAGACACATTAAAAGATGCTCACCTTGTTAGTCATTAAGGAAATACAAATAAAACCACAATGAGGTACCATTTCACACCCACTAGGGTGGTTAAAATCAAAGTATAACAAGTGTTAAAGAGAAGTAGAAATTAGAACCCTCATACACTGCTGGTGGGAATGTAAAATGGCCCAAGCAGTTTGTTTTTGGAAAACAGCCTTACGGTTCCTCAAAATGTTAAACATAAAAGAGTTACCATATTTCCTAGCAATTCCATTTCTAGGCATATATGTATAGTTCACACAAAACCTTGTACATAAACGTTCCTAACAGCATTATTCAAAATGGCCAAAAAATGGAACCAATGTAAATGTTCATCAACTGATGAAAAGATAAACAAAACATGCTATATTCTCCATACCATGGAATCTTACTTGGCAATAAAAAAGAACAAAATACTGATACATGCTACAACAAAATGTATAAATGTTGAAATTATGCTAAGTAAAAGAAGCCAGTCACAAAGGACCACATATGGTATAATTCCATTTATATGAAGCATCCAGAATAGGCAAATCCTTAGGAAAAGAACATAGATTAGAAGTTATACAGGGATAGAGCAGGTGGGGTGGAAATGTGGAATGACTGCTCAATGGGTACAGAGTTTCTTTTGGGGGTGATGAAAATGTTTTGGAATTAGGTTGTGGTGATGGTTGTACCGCTCTGTGAATATACTAAAAACCACTGAAAAGTACACTAAGAAAAATGAAGTTTAAGGTATATAAAATATATCTCAAAAAAGCTGTAAAGCAAAATGTTAATAGGAGAAATGGGTGCATGACATACAGATACTCTGTACTATCTGTAATATTCCTGTAAATCCGAAACTTCTAAAATAAAAGGTGTATATACAAATTAGGAAACAAGACATATAATAAATAGCTAAAGTAAGGGATGAGCTCAAATAGCACCACAGAACTTTGAAAAGATTCACGCACAGTGTTTCAGATTTTAAAATAAGTGCTGAATAAATATTAGATGGAAACAAATGAGGTTAGGCCTCATCCACAGGGTCACACACAGCACAGATAGAAGGAAAAATAGAATTCAAAGACCTGAAACAAGCTCATCACTCATCTGACTAAACAATTTCCATTTTCTTACTTACATAAACTTTCCAAATAAATTTACTTTCTCACAACCCAAAAACTTTCAGAAATGTCTACGTGGAAAAATATACACATGCTGGTAAACAACAGTGTCACTTTATCAATGTAAATCTAGTCCCTCTGCACCTTGGATTAGGATTTTATTAGGAAAGCATTTTAACACAATTTTGCCATATCCATTTCTAAAAGTCTAAAGACCTTATTTTCTATAGCTAAGATGTTATTATCATAGAATTTAAGATTCAATTCAGGTGAAACCTAAAAGATGTCAAGATTCGTTTTCATTGTCTTCTCCATATGAATAATAAAGCACTCAAAGTGTTCAAAAAGAAGATACTGACTGGAAAGGGACATAGGGAATTACTAGGGGGATAAAAATGTCCTATACCTTTACTTTATTCTTGGTTATACTGTACCCATACACTGTTGTATGCATACGTAAAAATTCATTAAGCTATATATACATCTTTGATCTGTGGATCAAAAGATCTGGAAATTATACCTCAATTTTAAATAATGAATTTTTTAAGTGTTCCAACAAATTACCTTATTATCCCAAAGCATGTGATGTAAGAATAAGATTTTGTTTTCTTTTAATAAAAGGAATCAGGCATGGAGAAGTAAAGCAGTTTGCCTTGGTACCTCAAAAATCAAGAAGAAAAACAAGTCTCCCAACTCTGTTCTATAATCTAAACTTCATGCCTCACAGAGATTGAATCCTGAGATTCTACTGAGAAGGTGAAAAGAAAAAGGGGAAAAGGGCAGAATAAAAGAATAAGGGGAAAAAGAACAGAACCAATCCTCACTCAATAAGTCACCCAGAGAGGCCAGGCGCAGTGGCTCACGCCTGTAATCCCAGCACTTTGGGAGGCCGAGGCAGACGGATCACCTGAGGTCAGGAGTTCAAGACCAGCCTAACCAACATGGTGAAACCCCGTCTCTACTAAAAATACAAAAATTAGCCAGGCGTGGTGGCGCGCACCTGTAATCTCAGCTACTCAGGAGGCTGAGGCAGGAGAATCGCTTGAACCCGGGAGGTGGAGGTTGCAGTGAGCCAAGATCGTGCCACTGTACTCCACCCTGGGTGACAGAGCGAGACTCTTATCTCAAGAAAAAAAAAGAATAAGGCTAAAAAAAAAGTAAGAACCAAATCAACATCCTCTCCATCCCCATCCCCAACACACCCCCAAATGCCATGTCCTTGTTCTCAAAAGAAAAAATTATTTTATCTAGAACTAGTTGTGAAATAATGCAAAGAATGCAAAAGAAGTTATCGGGTTCATGCTCTCTCTAAAAACCATCACAGTGCTACCACCTCTTGCATCCTTGTGCAGTTCTGTAAAAGAGTTCTAAGGCACTATACTTTTTACTATATTTTCCCTTTTTTTCACATGTCCACATATCTGTAGAGAGAAGGTTGGGAGCCCACATAGGCCTCAACAGATTGATACGAAGTATGGCTCTTATTTCAGTCATAAAATTTTAAAGTTGGACTAGGTCTGAGCAGTCAATAATCCTAAGAGACTTGCCTAAGATCTCACAGCTTAGCAAGTGGCAGAGTCAAATCAAAGTTGAATCTAGCCTTCTATTCACCACACCACATTTATACCTATGCCCAATTAGAAACTAGACAGTAACTTATCCAAAGTGATAACTGCACTCAGGAAAAAAATAGTTTATATTATCCAAATTCTCATACCCATCTGTTCCACAGCATCAGTCTTTTAATAAATTTATAAGAATTATAACTACTGGCTGGGCACGGTGGCTCATACCTATAATCCCAGCACTCTGGGAGGCTGAGGCAGCCAGATCACTTGAACCCAGGTTCGAGACTAGCCTGGGCCACAGGGCAAGACCCCATCTCTAGTGAAAATACAAAAAATCAGCCTGTAGGAGAATCATCTAAGCCCAGGAAATCAAGGCTGCAAAGAGCTGAGATCACACCCTGCATTCTAGCCTGGGTGATGGGAGTCAGATGCTGTCTCACAAAACAAACAAAAAAGAATTTTAACTGTCAATTAGGTTATGGTCAGTACCTTCTTTTTTTTCCTGTAGTAAAATCCCCTTGGTAAACTGATTTAATGCCAAAAGGTTATTTGGTAAATAAAAACTGAAGGCAAACAGAGGTGAATGGTTTTAAAGAATATGTTTGGCAACCAAAAACATTAATACAGTCATTTATCCATTTGGCAAACTTTGAAATGCCTACTAGGCGTCCAGGCACTACATTGGACCCAACAAACACAAAAGATACAGGAGACTTTGTTCTAGGTAGGGAAACACCACAAAGTGGTAAGAGCCATGATGGGAAACCTGGGGTGCTGAGGAAGCCCAGAGGAACAGCATCTATCTTAATCTGGAGGGTCAAGAAGTCAGACTAGCCTCTTACACTCCCAAACAGTAAGATTTGCTCCAGAAAGCTCAGGCTTCTCATTCATTTTTTTTTCCCTGTAGTGGTGCAAGGCGCAATCCGGGCTCACTGCAACCTCCACCTCCCAGGCTCAAGAGATCTTCCCACCTCAGCTCCCACTGGAAGTACAGGTACATGACACCACATCATTTTTTTTTTTTTTTATAGAGACGGGGTTTTGCCATGTTGCCCAGGCTTGTTTCAAACTCGTGGGCTCAAGTGACCCACCTGCCTCAGACTCCCAAAGTGCTGGGATTACAGGCGTGAGCCACCACTCCTGGCATCCTTGCACTTCTTAAAATAAGGATGTATTATGTTTATAACCAGAAAAAATATGGATGGCTATCAAAATAGCCCAAAGAGGATAGGGAGAAAATGATGAAAGCTTGAACTATAAGGTCTGTAAGAGCAGAAAATTGATCTTATTTTCCACTATATCCTTAATTCCTTGCATAATGTCTGGCACATAATAGATGCTTAATAAATGTCAGAATAAACGAGTGAATGAGTGAATAAATGAACACTCTTAAGGTTCAACAGGGAAGACATGTTTCAGAAGTAAAAAAGAAAGAAATTAAAGAAAACCCCAAGTTTTGTAGACTGGTTGGCTAAATGAATGATGGGCCATTAATCAAGATAAGTAAAACTAGAGGAGGTATAGGTTTATGGGAATGCAAAAAAATATCACTGCAAAATGCCAATGACTTTGGTAGAAGACACACTAGGTTTCAGGAACCAGCGGGATCTCAAAATGCAGATGTCCAGCAGGCAGTAGGGAAGTGCAAGCTGAATGTGCAGATTTGAGTGTCATCTACATGAAGCTTGTATCAGAGATCACAGCTATCATATACCATAGTTTATGGACTCTCACTGCTCTTAATCAACAACAGAATAAGATATGCAGATCAAAATGGAATACACCCACTATTCTGGATGCCCTGACACCCAATCTGACCTTTATCCTACTGATTTCTAAACTTACGATTATGAAATAAATACACATTATGCTTTAGAGACTTCATCTCTCATTTGTTTCCTAATGGTGTACAAAGACCCACAGCTATATACATACATACATATATATAATATATATTATACATATATAATATATATACATATATACATAATATATAATATATACATATATTATATATACATATATACATAATATATATTATATATACATAATATATATTTTATATATATATATGTTTTTTTTTTTTTTTTGAGACAGAGTTTCGCTCTTGTTGCCCAGGCTGGAGTGCAATGGCTCGATCTCAGCTCACCGCAACCTCTGCCTCCCGGGTTCAAGCAATTCTCCTGCCTCAGCCTCCCGAGTAGCTGGGATTACAGGCATGCGCCACCACGCCCGGCTAATTTTTTATTTTTAGTAGAGACAGCGTTTTTCCATGTTGGTCAGGCTGGTCTCGAACTCCCAACCTCAGGTGATCCACCCACCTTGGCCTCCCAAAGTGCTGGGATTACAGGTGTGAGCCACCACTTCTGACCATATTTTATATTTTCACTATTTGCTACAGACAGAAATCTTGGCTCATAGATCCAGGACAGATAAGAAATTCAATACATTTGGCATTATTTACCATAAAGATACAAAATGTATATACTGGTTTTATTCACTAAAAACAGGCAAATTATCACAAAATAATGGTTTGTCACATGCTACAGATTTTTTAAAGTTCCTGTTTGAAACTTGAAATACTTTTGAAAAACAAATGAAATACTTTTGAAAAACAAATACTAAAGAAAAACAAATTCTTTATCAACAATATTTTTATAAATGTTTATTCTCACTATAGGACAGGAAAAGTTATTTTTTGATACCTGTTTCACCTAACTCCAAGATTACGACATCATGATCCTTCCAACTGTCCTCACCTACACGAGTCTCATCCTTGTCCAATTCATCCTACCTATGAGTTAAAAAAAAAAAAACACTTCTTCATTTCCTTTGTTTCAATTCTACCTCTCAAAGTCCACTCTTCATATCTTAAAATGACCTTACTCAAAACTAAGCTTGTCTCCAAAAGGTCAGCAAATGGGTAGGGCGGGCTAGTCTCACAAACACAGAAACACAAATGTACGATTCAAGTATCTCCATGCTTTCATCCATGTTATTTTTCATACTTGCAATGATAGCCTTCTTCTTCAACATTACAAATAGAGAACACAGATCAAATCCTCCTGTAATCGCTTCAACAGTCACCTATTCTCTTCCTTCTTTATATTTCCATAATACAAACCATATGGCCTTCAATAGCTAGTTTTCCTGTTTTCCTCTTTCCACACTGGCTTCTTGAAGTGCCATATCAAATCTAAATTCCTTAACAATACCATTAGTATTCAATAAATGCTAATTCAGTGATAGGTTTAAATCTGTCTCTAAATTAAAAAATTATCTAGTCCTAACCTGGTGTGGGTAGAAAATCTAATGTAACTCTACCAGAGTAAAGAAAGAACATATAGCCAAGCAAATAACTGAAGCCACAGAAGGTGGCTTATTTCACAACACTTCCCAGTTCATCCTATCTGGTGACTGCATTGGCTTATTTTCAAGAAACTGACTTTAAGGCCATAGTAGAAATAAGTTTTTAAAAAATAAGACCAGAATAAACTGAGTCACTGAGTCAGAGCTACAAGACAAGTGATTCTAAAGATGACGACAGATGAAGACTCTAGGTCACACAGATAGTTTGTGGCATACAAACGCTAGAACAGAGGCTTCTAACTTCTAGAAGAGTAACATATTTATTGTGTGCCTAATACGTGCCAAGAACTCTGCTAGGCACTACGTTAGACTAGTACCCATTCTTGTACATCAAGATACTTCCCATAGATGTTCTAAAACATTTAAAATATTAATTTAAGGCTCACATTCTAAGGAAATCCCTGTGTTACAAGAAGACAACGCCCACATCTCTAACAAATACATTAAAACAGGCAGGCAGAGGGGGGAAAAACCATACAAGCAGGAAAGAATTTGGAATTCCAAACAATTTACTCTTCCTTTTCTGGCTATGAAAATTCGCATACTATTGTTTACCAATAAAGAGATTAAGACCACCAAAAGGCATTTCTACCCAAATTTCATGACCCAACAGTTTGGAAAAAATGAACATTATTCCTGGCAGAAAAAAATTATCTGTTTTTGTCACATCACATGCAGAGCCATCTGAGAATAAATGTCTAAGCAAAAAAAGAAACAATACTGGAATTTGATAAAGACTCCTCAGGAATATGGCATTTAGCTGTTTCTTTTCTTTTCTTTTTTGAGATAGAGTCTTGCTCTGTTGCCCAGGCTTGAGTGCAGTGGCGCAATCTTGGCTCACTGCAACCTCCACCTCCTGGGTTCAAGTGATTCTCCTGCCTTAGTCTCCCAAGGAGCTGGGATCACAGGTGCACACCATCATGCCCAGCTAATTTTTGTATTTTTAGTAGTGACGGGGTTTCACCATGTTGGCCAGGCTGGTCCTCGGACTCCTGACCTCAAGTGATCCACCCACCTTGGCCTTCCAAAGTGCTAGGATTACAGGCGTGAGCCACTGCGCCCAGCCTAGCTGTTTCAATGGAACCTTTCATCAAAGGATCTCAAAACAAATGTTACTGACATTACCAATAATCAAATTGGTGACCCTATGGCTACAGAAAGAAATATATCAATGACCTAAGGAATTCAATACTGATATTCTGAAACCCAGCCCTCTGTTCTAAAAACAAAATCTAGTTTTATGTATAGTAGTGTGCTATAAGAAACATACATATTTGGTCTTTGTCCTTGATTCCTGGCAGAGCTCCTAAAACCCTTAGGTTTTCCTCAATAACAGAAGCGCTTTTTGTTATTCATAATGTATTCCTTTCAACCACACCTGAGTTTATACTAATTAGGTGACTCTTGGTGGGCCTCTAGATAGCTTCAGGATAGGGCTGGTTGCCAGGGGAACCAACCAAGCGATTAGAGTATTGGAACTTTTAGTCCTCCACTCCTCAACCTTTGGGGAAGAGAGAGGAACTGGGGACTGACTAAATGATGGGGTTTGGAAAGATTCCCAGGTAGTGAATACATGGAGGTGCTGGGAGGGTTTTGTGCCCAGAGAGGACATGAAAGCCTCACACCCCTCCCCCATAGCTTGCCCTATGTATTTATTTCATTTAGCTGTTCCTGAGTTGTACCCTTTATAATAAATTGATAAACATAAGTGTTTTCCTGAGTTCTATGAGTCTTTCCAGTGAATTAACGAACCTGAGGAAGGGGTCACGAGAACCCCTGAATTTGCAGCCAAGCCAGACAGAAGTGTGGGTGGCCCAAGACTTGTGACTAGCATCTCAAGCAGCAGCAGTCTTTTGGGACTGAGCCCTTTAACTTGAGATCTGACACTAACTCCAGGTAGACAGTGTCAGAATTGAATGGAATTGTTGAACACTCAGTGTCATAGAACTGAAGGTGAATTAGGTGTGGTATGGAAAAACCCCCATAGGTAGTAATTCTTGGGATATATTTGTAAAGCTTGATGATACAAATGTATTTGTTGATATAACCTCCCAACTTACCTTGATGCACATGTACAAATAGAAAACCCAAAAATGTAAGCAATGCTGTCAAGAACAGTTGCCACTAAAAATACCTGGCATTAATTTTATGCCATCTACATGCCAGGCATTAAGCTCAGCATAAATTATTTGCAGTGTACAAAACTCTGAGATGCAGATACTGTCCTCAACAGCAGAAGAGACAATTAAATCTCATAAATGTCCCACTATACACAGCAAGTAGCAGAGTTATGAACTAAAGCTAGTTTTAACACATAAATCCCTGCCAACTTCTACATTACAGCAACCTTTACTTTTTATCATGTAGTGTAAAATTATAAACTTTAACAATCCTTGAGGACAGCATCCTCAAAATATGTTCTTGAAAGACTAGTCTTGAAAAATTCTCTCAAATAATAAAAATAAAATATAAAGAAATCACATGTACCTATCTAGTATTCTACTTGTCTACACATTTTTTTAAGAACTGCCTTTTTCAGCATTATACTCTTGCTGACTGACAAACATTTCATTTTTTTCTCCTCCAGTTAATAAGAAACTAAAGTCATCAAGACACTACTTTCTCTTCAGTACCAATATCAGCAATGAGGAAAGAGGTCACTAGAAATCAGGAAATCTTACAACTTCTGAATATATTTGGATAGTTATATTTCCAAGTATTATCTTCAGTACCAAAATCCTAATTCTTCAATTGTTTTTCATTAGATATGGTGGCTAATGAGGCTGGACAGCGTGGAAGCTCACGCCTGTAATCCTAGCACTTTGGGAGGCCGAGGCGGGCAGATCATGAGGTCAGGAGATCGAGATCATCCTGGCTAACATGGTGAAACCCCATCTCCACTAAAAATACAAAAAATTAGCCAGGCGTGGTGGCTGGCGCCTGTAGTCCCAGCTACTCAGGAGGCTGAGGCAGGAGAATGGCATGAACCCAGGAGGCGGAGGTTGCAGTGAGCCCAGATCGTGCCACTGCACTCCGCGGGTTGGCGGGGGGGGGGGGGGGGGGGCGACAGAGCAAGACTCCATCTCAAAAAAAAAAAAAAAAAAAAAAAGATATGGTAGCTAAAGCTCTCACTATTCTGGTCTCATTCATCTAGAAAATTTAGATTATCCCTGTCCTTTTAAAATGTAACATCCAAGAATGGATACAACATAGATATAATCTGACAGTCCAAGAACAAAGGGACTATTACTTCTTTTAATCTAGCACTGTACCTCTGTAAGTGTTCACCAATGTTAGCTTTTTTTTTAACAGCCAAATCATACAACTTACCTTAGATTATGGGACTCATCAAATGAAAACAAAACTTTTGAGCCAGATAATTTCTGTTTAAGAGTAGGATCTTGCCTGGGCGCGGTGGCTCACACCTGTAATCCCAGCACTTTGGAAAGCTGAGACAGGTGGAGAGCCTGAGGTCAGGAGTTCGAGACCAGCCTTGCCAACATAGTAAAACCCCATCTCTACCAAAAATGCAAAAATTAGCCAGTTGTGGTGGCATGTGCCTGTAATCCCAGTTACTTGGGAGGGTGAGGCAGGAGAATTGCTTGAACCCAGGAAGTGGAGGTTGCAGTGAGCAGAGATCATGGCCACCGCACTCCAAACTGGGCCTAGGCAACAGAGTGAGACGCTGTCTCAAAAAAAAAAAAAAAAAAAAAAGAATAGGATCTTACATTTCTATTACACCCACCTTGACACTTTCATACCTCATACGTACTTAAATCATCTTGATTTTCTTTGATGCAACATATTAGATAAACCTCCCAGTTTTAGTATCATTTATAAATTTTTTGGTAAGCATACTTATACCATTATTCGAGATCTCAATCCACACAACTTAGCAACAGAATTTACAATCCCGTGTAACCACAACTAAGCTCTACATCAAAATAAGCAAACCAAGTCAAATGACTAACAAACTGGGAAAATAAATTTGCAACACATAAGCTAATTCCATTACATAAACGGCTCCTACAAATTCATAAGAAAAAAAACTGTTAGGATGTTGTTAAACAGGAATTAAAATTTGAAAAAAGAAAAAATGTGTAATCAATGAAAAAAGAATCAAAGTCTAACATGGACAGCCAGCTCACAAAAAAAGATACATGATTTTCATATAGATGAAAAGTTCTTCAACCTCATGCATGAGAGCAATGCAAATGAATCTACGAAGTGATACCATTTTTTTTACCTATCAGATTGGCAAAGACCAAAATGTTTGATAACACATCTAAGTTGTAAAGATAATGGAGAAACAAGCACTCTCATAGACTGCTGATTGTAAAATAATTCCAACTAAGGTCTTTAGAGAAAATTTTGAAAATATCTGTTAAAAATTTAATTATATCTACCTTTTCTTCAGAGCACCAGTATTCACGCAGCATTATTTGTAACAGCAAAAGTGCTAGCCACAGTTGTTATTCCAACAGCCATTTCTCCCTTCTTCCTCATTAACCAGAATTCACATTTTGTTCAAGATAGTAATGACTGGTTTCAGGCAATATGGCTATCATATTCTCTTTCCTAGACACACTTGGAGTGAGGGGCAGCACTATAAATCCCAGTGAAATGTAATGAGACATTACACAGGAAGTGCACTCAAAAGCATGGTCTGCTGACCCCACAGCATCAGCATTACATGGGAGCTTAATAGATATACAAATTCTCAGGCCCTACTCCAAACCTATGCATTTCAGAATCTCTGGAAGTATATCCCACAAATATGCAATATGAATTGTATTTTAACAAGCTCCCCATGTAATTCTATGCACACTAAAGTTCACGAAGCACTGTTTAGGAGACTTCTGGGAATTTCTTTCCTTCCCATGTAAAATGACAGCATCTTCCCAGTAAAAAAATGTTTTGCCCTCCATATCCTGTTTTTGAATGCAGTTGGTTGTGCTGGTTGGAGATGAGGCGCCATGATGCAACCAAAAGGTGACACAGGGAGGCTGAAAAGCCAACATAATGAGGAAAATAAAGGTGAGGGGAAAAATGTGGGTCCTAAATATTGCTGAGCTACCAAACTAGTGCTGAATTACCTATCTCGTTGCTTCTGTTTATATAAGACAATAAAATATTTTTACAGCTTAAGTCACTATTAGATTTCCTGGGGTTTTTTAAATTATTACTTCCATTATTTACAATTGAATGTATCCTAATGATATATATTTTGTCTACGCATGGAATTTTTTTTTTTTTTTTTGAGATCCGGAGTCTTGCTCTGTTGCCCAGGCAGGAGTGCAGTGGCACAATCTCGGCTCACTGCAACCTCCACTTCCCGGGTTCAAGCCTCCCGAGCAGCTGGGATTACAGGCACCCCCCACCACGCTTGGCTAGTTTTTGTATTTTTAGTAGAGATGGGGTTTTGCCATGTTGGCCAGGCTGGTCTCAAACTCCTGATCTCAGGTGATCCATCCACCTCAGTCTCCCAAAGTGCTGGGATAACAGGCATGAGCCACCGCGCCCAGCCTATCCTTGGAAATTAATGGAGCTTTAATTCTAGTGGAAATGACACAGATTGGGGATAAGACTTGTTAGTGGTCTCAAGACTAACACTGGTTGTCTTAATGCAGTGTGGACATACGAAAAACCCAAAAGAAAAAAAATCACAGGAAATACATAACATGAAACACTATGCAGCTGAAAAAAAAAAAAAACGGACACAAGTTGGCCAGGTGTGGTGACTCACACTCATAATCCCAGCACTTTGGGAGGTGGAAATGGGAGGATTGCTTAAGGCCAGGAGTCTGAGATCAACCTGGGCAACATAGCAAGACCCTGTCTCGAAAAATTTTTTAAACTACCCAGGCGTGGTGGTGCACGCCTCTAGTCCCAGCTAGTCGGGAGGATAAGGCAAGAGGATCCCTTGAGCCCAGGAGGTCAAGGCTGCAGTTAGCTACGATCACACGCACCACTACACACCAGCATAGGTGACAGAGTGCCACCATGTCTCTAAAAAATAAAAATAATAAGTTTAAAAATACTGTTTTTTAATGACATGGGCTATAAGTAGCATACGGTTAATCCCTGGTCCAAAATGCTTGGAACCAGAAGTGTTTTAGATTTCAGATTTTTTCACATTTTGAAATATTTGCATTATACCTACCAGGCAAGCATCCCAAATCCAAGCAGCATTTCTTTGAGTGTTATGTTGGTACCCAAAAGATTTCAGATTTTGGATTTTCAAATTTGGGATGCTCAAACTATATTGTATGAGGGAAAAAAGCAAGGTATAGAACTGTTTGAACAGTAGACCTCTATTTGAGTTTTTTAAAGGTAATATAAATATATATGTACATATATACACAAATATGTACATAAAATATCTGGAAGGAGACACAAAAAGAGGTAAAAATGGTTGTTACTAAGGAGGAGAAGTAAGGACCAGGAATCAGGGATTAAAGTGAGACTTTCATTTCTATGGTTTCAACATCTGCATATTCCTATTCAAAATGAGTTTGAAATAAAAATGTTAAAAACTTCTTTTAGACTCATATTACACATAAGAGAATTCTCAAAGTGACTCAAAGCTGTTATTTCTACAAAGTACCTAAAAATTATTGTTTGCCTACCAGCACCTGGCATAATGCCTTGCCTATAATAGATTCTCAAATGTCTTCTGACTCAATTTACTATGGAATCAATTCCACAAGCTGCCACTTACGGCATCTAAGAATCTAAAAAATAGCGGCTAGAACTGAGCGCAGTGGTTCACACCTGTAATCCCAGCACTTTGAGAGGCTGAGGTGGGAGGACTGCTTAAGCCCAGGAGTTCAAGATCAGCGTTGTCAACATAGCAACACCCTATCTCTGCAAAAAACAAATTAAATAAATAAAACATACAGGGCAGGTGCAGTGGCTCATGTCCATAATCCCAACACTTTGCAAGGCTGAGGTGGAATGACTGCTTGAGACTAGGAGTTCAAGACCAGCCTGGGCAACATAGCAAGACCCCATCTCTACAAAAAATACAAAAATTAGCTGGGTATGGTGGCGCACACCTGTAGTCCTAGCTACTTGGGAGGGTGAGGTGGGAGGATGGCTTGAGCCCAGCAGTTTGAAGTTGCAGTGAGCTATGATTGCACCACTGCACTCCAGCTGAGCAAGAGCAAGACCCTATCTCTAAAAAAATAAATAAAATAAAATGAAAAGTAGAAAATAAACTTCATATATTTGAACCTTTCTCTTCATAATCAAAGTCTGTCAGATAATTACTTAACTCTGTTTTCCTTATTCTCCACAATATTTGAGTACTGTCTTAAGTTGTCGGAAAGGAAAATCAGCTCATAACAACCTTCTCTGGGTTTTCCATATGCCCACACTGCATTAAGATGACCAATACCAGAAGCAGGCATGGTGGCACATCTGTAGTCGCAGCTACTCAGGATCTAAGGTAGGCGGATCACTTGAGCCCAGTAGTTCATCTAGCCTGAGCAATACAGCAAGATTCCATTGCTATTTAAAAAAAAAAAAAATGGCCAGGTGCGGTGGCTCACACCTGTAATCCCAGCACTGTGGGAGGCTGAGGCAGGTGATCACCTAAGGTCAGGAGTTCGAAACCAGCCTGGCCAACATGGCGAAACCCTGTCTCTACTAAAAATACGAAAAAGAATTAGCTGGGTGAGGTAGCCGGCGCCTGTAATCCCAGCTACTTGGCAGCTGAGGCAGGAGAATCGCTTGAACCCTGGAGGCAGAGGTTGCAGTCAGCCAAGATCGCACCACTGCACTTCAGCCTAGGGGACAGAGGAGGACTCCATCTCAAAAAAAAAAAAAAAAAAAAAAAAAACAACACAAACACACCCAAAAAAGATTACTCATACCAGTGTGAGACCACTAACAAGTCTTGGCCCCAATCTGTTATTTCATTTCCACTAAAACATAAACTCCATTAGGGTAGAAACTTTTATCCACTGTATCTCCAACACCTACAACAGGGCCAACAAATATGAAAGTAAGCAATACATATTTTTTTTAATAAACAAATGAAGAAAAAGAGGTCTTCCATAAAAGCCAAGAATAAGTTATGTCTAACCACACCCACCCACTTTGGTTATTTACATAAGCTCATCTGGCTGAGTATGCTACATAGACTGGATACTTTTACCAAAGAATAATAAAATAGGGCCGGTGCCGTGGCTCACGCCCGTAATCCCAGCACTTTGGGAGGCCAAGGCGGGCGGATCACCTGAGATTGGGAGTTTAAAACCAGCCTGACCAACACGGAGAAACCCCGTCTCTATTAAAAATACAAAAAACTAGCTGGGTGTGATGGCACATGCCTGTAATCCCAGCTACCTGGGAGGCTGAGGCAGGAGAATTGCTTGAACCTGGGAGACGGGGTTGCAGTGAGCCGAGATCACACCACTGCACTCCAGCCTGGGGAACAAGAGCAAGATTTCATCTCAAAAAAAAAAAAAAAAAGTTTAAAATATCATTGGTCCTTAAAGTTATACCTTCATTCTTTTGATAATTGCTATGTTGAACACAACCTGCTAACTGCTTTACAATGACTTAAGTAAGCACTAGTGATTTGAACCCAGGTTTAATGCCTGGCTCAAAAAAAAAAAAAAAAAAAAGAATAAATATAAGTGTGAAGAGGTTCTCACAAGCCCCACTGACAGAACAAAGACTATATTTAAAGTGCCTTTCAGCCCTATAACCTAAGAAAGAAGAGTAGCTGACAGCCAATTAGCTCCTAGCCAATCCTTACATTTTTTCTTTTTCATAATAATTGCTAAGGACAATTTTTAAAATCCTGAAGACATGAATCAAAAATAAAGGAGCCAGGTTCAGTGGCTCATGCCTATAATCTCAGCATTTTAGAAGGCTGAGGCAGGAGGATTGCTTGAAGCCAAGAGTTTGAGACCAGCCTGGGCAACATATGCAGACCTCATCTCTACAGAAAAATAAATAAATAAAATTAAAAAAAATAAACCCTGAAGGGCTGGGCGCGGTGGCTCACGCCTGTAATCCCAGCACTTTTGGAGGCTGAGGCGGGAGGATCACAAGGTCAAGAGATCGAGACCATCCTGGCTAACATGGTGAAACTCCGTCTCTACTAAAAATACAAAAAAAAATTAGCCAAGCATGGTGGCAGGCGCCTGTAGTCCCAGCTACTCGGGAGGCTGAGGCAGGAGAATGGTGTGAAACTGGGAGGCGGAGCTTGCAGTGAGCTGAGATCGTGCCACTGCACTCCAGCCTGGACAACAGAGCGAGACTCCATCTCAAAATAAATAAATAAATAAACCCTGAAGATCTCCTCAAAGTAAATTTTCCAATATTACTTTAAATGAATAATTAATAAAGACAGTTGTTAATAATATTACTTACATATCTTAAATCTTCTCCTGCCAAGAACATCTACCCAGAGTTACAGATTTTTATCTGAATACCCAGTCTCATCAGGGTTTAGGAAATGTTTTGCATTTGGAAAGACAACATCTCCAATCAGTCTTTAACCTCCAACCGCTCCACTAAAACTACCCTTTATCAAGGTTACCAATAACTGCCACATTGTTAAATCAAATAGTTAATTCTCAGCCCTCATCTCAATTGTAGTATTTGACACAGTTGATCACTCCCTATTCCTTGAAACACTTTCCTCATTAGACTCCAGGATACCCTCTAACCTAGTTCTCATCTTAACTCTCCAGCCACTGCTACTAAGTCTTCCTTGATGTTTCCTTCTCATCTTCCCCAACTCTAAACTCTGGAAATTAAGTTCTTCAACTGCTTCTTACTTCCATCTCTACTCACTTAATTGGAGATCTCATCCAGCTTTCTGGATTTAAATATAATCTATTTTAACAATACCCAGAGGTATATGTCCAGCAGATCCTTCTCTCCTGAATTCCAGATTCATAAACCCAACTGTTTACTCAACATCCCTAAGTCTTTTTTTTTTTTTTTTTTTTGAGACAGAGAGTCTCACTCTATGACCCAGGCTGGAGTGCAGTGGCGCAATCTTGGCTCATTGCAACCTCCACCTCCCAGGTTCAAGCAATTTTCCTGCCTCAGCCTCCCAAGTAGCTGGAAATACAGGAATGTGCCACCACGCACAACTAATTTTTTGTATTTTTAATAGACATGCGGTTTCACCATGTTAGCCAGGGTGATCTTGATCTCCTGATCTCCTGATCTCATGATCCACCCGCCTCGGCCTCCCAAAGTGCTGGGATTACAGGCGTGAGCCACCGTGACCAGCTTTTTTTTTAATGTTTTTATTTTTATTTTTATTTTTTTTTTGAGACAGAGTTTCGCTCTTTTAGCCCAGGCTGGAGTATAATGGCGCAATCTCGGCTCACTGCAACCTCTACCTCCCAAGTTCAAGTGATTCTCCTGCCTCAGCCTCCCAAGTAGCTGGGATTACGGGCGCCTACCACCATGCCTAGGTAATTTTTTACTTTTTTTTTTAGTAGAGATGGGGTTTCACGACATTCGCCAGGCTGGTCTTGAACTCCTGACCTCAGGTGATCTGCCCGCCTCGGCCTCCCAAAGCACTGGGATTACAGGCGTGAGCCACTGCGCCTGGCCAACATCTCTAAGTCTTAATAGGCATGTTTAATTTATGTCTAAAACTGAGCTTCTGTTACTTCTCCTGCAAACTTGTTTCTCTTTCTTTCAGTCTTCTCCATCTCAATAAATGACAACTGCATTCTTCCAGAAACTCAATACAAAAACCTTAACTCTTTCCTTTCTTTCACAGCACATATCCAATCTATCAGCAAAACCTGCTGACTCTACTTGAAAAATATATCCAGAATCAGATCATGTTACCACAGTCACTGCTACTCTCTAGCACAAACCACATTTTCTCTCACCTTGATTACAGTAATAGGCTCCAAACTAGTATTTCTGCTTTTGTCCTTGCCCAATCCACCACTATCTACTCAGCAGCCAAAGAAATGAAAATGTCAAAATATAAATCAGATCATGTCACCCTGCCCAAACGCTCCAAAGACTTCCTATTTTGCTCAGTGTAAATGCTGAAGTCCTACAAAGACCAGCAGCAGCAGCAGCACCTGGGAGCTTATTAGAATTAGGCCCTACCCCAGACCTATGAAATTAGAGTCTAAATTTTAATAGAAACCCCCAAGGTAATTCATGTGCACATTGAAGTTTGAAAAGCACTTCCATAAAGCACCACAAAATAAGGACCCACCCTCACCATTCCTCAGGCAAGCTTCTGTCTCAGGACATGTACACTGTGATTCACTATGCCTAGAATGCTCTTCTCATATATGTGTATGGCTCACTCCTTCACTTCTTTCAAGCCCTTACTCAAATGTCACCTTCTGTATGAAGCCATCTGTGAACACTCAACCCCTTCCCCTCAATACATTCTATTCCTGCTTTCCTTTTACTTTTCTCTTTAGAATTTGTCATCATAAATTTAAAAATGACATTTATGCATTATTTATTTATTTCAGGCCAGGGATGGTGGCTCATGCCTGTAATCCCTGGATTTTGGGAGGCCGAGGTGGAAGGATCACTTGAGCCCAAGAGTTCGAGACCAGCATGGGCAACATAGCGAGACCCTCATCTCTACAAAAAATAAAAATATTAGCTGATCACAGTGGCATATGCCTGCAGTCCCAGCTACCTGAGACACTGATGCAGGGGACTGTTTGTGCCCAGGAATGTGAGATTGCTGTGAGCTACGACTGCACCCTTGCACTCCAGCCTGGGCAACAGAACAAGACGTTGTCTTAAAAAAAAAGGTTTTCAGAAAGAAAAATTGAGTCTTTGAGTGAAAACAACAGATATACCTATAACTGTCTACAACGCAATAACAATCCTTTACATTGATAAAAATCTTTCATGCAAATTTTCTTATCTGATTCTCAATAACCCCATGAGCTGTGTAAAGCAAGTAATGATAAGCCCATTTTAAAGGTGAGAAAACAAACATACTTTAACTCTCAAAGCATGGAAGTAATAATGTCAAACCTGGGACTGAAGTCTCAATTTTTAGTTCAAAACTCTACAATATCACACCTCCTCTTGCCAATGAAACTGAACCAGACTATGAAATCATACAGCCATAATATTATGCTAACGTTACTAAGCTTTCCTAAACCATCCAGTGTCTATGCAGAATGAGAACAAATTCAGTTTACCCAAGTCACAATTTCAATTTGAGAAATAAGAATGCAAGCTACAGCTGGGCACAGTGGCTCACACCTGTAATCCCAGCACTTTGGGAAGCTGAGGTGGGGGATCACTTGAGCCCAGGAGTTTGAGACCAGCCTGGGCAATACAGCAAGACTCTGTCTCTATTATAAAAAATAAAGATTTAATTTAAAAGAAAAAAATTCAAGCTGCTCCCCGTTACTTGTAAGTCTAATCCCGTGTCTAATAACATTCAGGAAGAATGTAGGAAATGAGCTGTTTCATTATATACATTAAGAAAGTTCTTGTTGAGCTACAGGTGCTAGAAAAAAAGAGAAAATGGGAGAAAGGAAGATGGAACAAGTAAATGAATGAGAACTGAGTTATAGAGAGGAAAGTATAATTATTTTATACTGTTCTGAGTGCCTGGGTGATGTGATTTTGCAGTAGAAGAAAAAACGACATACCTCCTCAAAATCCCAGCAATAGCTTCCCTTTCTTTGCATAGGTGAGGATGAACAGTTGTAATCCAAAAGGTTTCCCAAAAAGTTATTTTTTAAAAAGACATAGAAACAGAAGATCCATATGAAAAAGAGATCCAATCTGGGAGGATGGACACTGTGTCTTCTAAATCTTGTGACCAAAGGCAACTGTTCACCGAGCGTCAGCATCTGAAGAAAGTGCTAACTGTGGATGTGTCTTCTCCAGAGATTAATACCTGCTGGGACAGAGAAGCAAGAAAAGGAGAAAGAACTACTGAATGCAAATGACTGTCTGACAAGCAATGACAGGCTGAGCATCCCAACTTTGAAAGGCCAAAACCCAAAATGCCCCAAAATCTGAAAACTTTTGAGTCCCAACATGATGCTCAAAAGACACACTCATTGGAGCATTTCAGAGTTCAGACTTTCCAACTAGGGATGCTCAACTGATAAGTATAATACAAATATTCCAAAATCTAAAAAAAATCTGAAATACTTCTGGTCTGAAGTATATCAGTTCTCAGGCTGCAAATTTTTTTTCTTTTTTTTTTTTTTTTGAGACAGAGTTTTGCTCTTGTTGCCCAGGCTGGAGTGCAATGGTGCAATCTTGGCTCACTGCAACCTCCACCTCCCAGGTTCAAGCGATTCTCCTGCCTCATCCTCCCAAGTAGCTGGCATAACAGGCGCTTACCACCATGCCAGGCTAATTTTTGTATTTTCAGTAGAGACTGGGTTTCACCATGTTGGCCAGGCTGGTCTTGATCTCCTGACCTCATGATCCCCCTGCCTCGGCCTCCCAAAGTGCTGGGATTACAGGTGTGAGCCACCTGCGCCCAGCCTAAAATTTTTTAAATTAACATTAGTGAACAAAAAGTGATCACATGGAGGTAATACCAGTGACCACGCCCAGCTGGCACTGAGTTATCAATGACAGCAATAAGCAAAAGTACACTTTTGCAGGTAATCCAGCTCTCTCTCTGATAATAGTAAAGAAAATATTAAAATCTATTTCAAGTTTTTTGTAGCAAAATCATGGTCATATCATGCAACGAATCATAGATAAATATTTGTCTGCAGTCTGCCAAACAGAGCAACCATTCTGGCAACTTATAAAACAAATATCATAGAACTACTAATGCAGATGTCCACTCTCAGCAGAAAATGTAGAATAATCATATAAAAAAAACATATGTAGGTTTTGGCAGAGAAACTAAAAGTTGACATGAAAACAAAGGGACATAAATGTTAATATGACATACAGGGTGGTTTGCATACCTTTTTAGCTAACATACAGAACAAGAAATCTGTTATATTTTCGCAACAAATTAAGGCAGTATTTATTGATACCTGCTACATCACTGCATTTCTATCAAACCACAAATTATAGAATATATAAAATGAAATACATTGGATGGAACTAGCAGCAGTCAAGACACAGCAGAAGGAAAGACGAGTGAATGTAAAGACACAGAAATAAAAACTATCCAAAATGAAACCCAAAATATAAGACCAAAGAAAAAGAGCAGAGCATCAGTAAGGTATGGGACAACTTCAAGAACCTAATAATATATATGTAACTGGAATCCGAGGAGCGATGTGTGACTATTTGGAGAAATAATAGCCAAAGATGTTCCAAATCTGATGAAAAGTATAAACCCACAAACTCCAAAAGCTTAACAACAAGAGCAAAAAACTCAAAAGAAAGCTTATACTCCACCAGGGCACAACAAAATCAAATTCCTTGAAACCAGACATAAAGAAAAATCTTAAAAGGAGCCAGAGGAATATGGAATGAGAGAAAATATTTACAGATCATCTATCATCCAGAATATACAGAGAACTCTTAAAACTCAAAACAAAAACAACCTGATAAAAATGGGCAAAGGATATTTCTACGAAGGAGATACATGAATGGCTGATAAACACATAAAAAGATGCTCAATATCACAAATAATTAGGGAAATGCAAATCAAAACTACAATCAGATACCACTCATACCCATTAGGGATAGCTATGATTAAAAAAAAAAAACAGAAAACAACAAGTGCTGGCAAGGATATGGAGAAAGTGGAACCCTTGTGCACTGCTGATAGGAATGTACGATGCTACAGCCACTGGGGAAAACAGTATGGAAGTCCTAAAAAAATGAAAATAGAATTACCATATGATCCAGCAATTCCACTTCTGGGTTTATAGCAAAAAAGATTTAAAGTGTGGTCTGTAAGAGATATCTGTACAGTCATGTTCACAGCAGCATTATTCATGATAGCCAAAAAGTGGAAGCAACTCAAGTGTCATATGTCCATGAACAGATGCATAGATAAGCAAAATGTGGTATATCATATACAATGGAATACTATGCAGTCTTAAAAAGAAAGAACATTCTGAAAAATACTACAACATGGATGAACCTTCAGGACATTATATTAAGTGACAGGAGACAGTCACAAAAAGACAAGTACTGTATGATTCCACTTATATGAGGTACCTAGGGTAGTCAAATTCAAAGACAGTAGAATAGTGGCTTCCAGAGGCCAGAGGAGGGGGTCTGGGGAGTTAGTGTTTAAAAGACTTTCAGTTTGCAAGATGAAAGGAGTAATGGAGATGGATGATAGTGATGGTTGCACAACATTATGAATGTATTTAACATTACTGAACACCACACTTAAAAATGGTTAAAATCAGCCAGGCGTGGTGGTTTATGCCTGTAATCCCAGCACTTTGGGAGGCCAAAGTGGGCAGATCACCTGAGGTCAGGAGTTCGAGACCAGCCTGGCCAACGTGGTGAAACCCTGCCTCTACTAAAAACACACACACACACACACACACACACACAAAATTAGCCAGGTATGGTGGCACATGCCTGTAATCCCAGCTACTTGGGAGGCTGAGGCAGGAGAATCGCTTGAACCCGGGAGGCGGAGGTTGCAGTGAGCTGAGATCGCACCACTGCACTCTACTCTGGGTGACAGAGCGAGACAATCAATCAATCAATAAGGTTAAAATGGGCCGGGTGTGTTGACTCATGCCTGTAATCCCAGCACTTTGGGAGACCAACATGGGAGGATTATTTGACCCCAGGAGTTTGAGATCAGTCCGGGCAACATGGTGAGGCCCCATTTCTACAAAAAACTGTAAAAATTTGCCAGGAATGGTGACAGGCACCTGTGGTCCCAGCTATTCAGGAGGCTGAAGTGGAAGGATCACTTGAACCTAGGAGGTCAAGGCTGCAGTAATTCATGTTTACACCACTGCACTCCACCCTGGGTGACAGAGCGAGACGCTGTCTCAAAAACACACAAACAAAAAATGGTTAAAATGGTAAATTTTTAATTATATGTATTTTACCACAATAAAAAAAATATATTTTTTGGGCTGGGAGCAGTGGCTCACACTTGTAATCCCAACACTTTGGGAAGCCAAGAGGGATCAATCACTTGAGGCCAGGAGTTCAAGACTAGCCTGACCAACTTGGTTTCACCAACATGGTGAAACAAGATGGTGAAACCTCGCGTCTATTTTATTTTATTTTAGAAATAAAAAAATTAAATTAAAAAAAGAAAAAATATATTTTTGAAAGAAAAATAAAAGCAGCCAGAAGGAAACAACCACACATTACATACAGAAAAATAAACCCAATGAAAGCAGATTTCTCATTGGATACAATGCAGGCCAGAAGATGGTGAAACAGCATCATAAAGAAACGTCAACAGTAATTACATATCCTGTGAAAACAGTTTCGAAAACTAAAAACAAATTAAAGTCTTCAGATGTCCAAATACTAAAAGGATTCATTGTCAGCAAATGTGCACTACAAGAAACATTAGAAATCCTTCAATCAGAAGGAAAATCATACCACACAGAAATCTAGAACTATACAAAAGAACAAAGAGCACCAAAAAAAGGTAAAATATATGAATAAACAAAATATACACGCATACTGGACAAAGACTTTTATAATAGTATGAGCAGAATCATTTACATTATTAAAATAAAGAAAAAAGCAATATCAAGAATTTTCAGGCTGGGCATGGTGGCTCACACCTGTAATCCCAGTACTTTGGGAGGCTGAGACGGGAGGATCACTTGAGCCCAGGAATTGGAGACCAGCCTGGGCAACATAGTGCAACCCCATTTCTACAAAATAAAATAAAAAAAGAATTTATACATATCTTCCAACATGCTTGTCTTCCACAAACTTCAAAGTACCCTGATTATTAGAATTAGAACTCAGTTCCCATCACACTTTCCTACAAATCACAGTCAATATTATTTCTTCTTTATAAAATGAAGCTCTAAAGTACAAGCTATTTGTCTGATAACAGAGTCTTTTGAAGAAATAAAATTAAAACTAAAACCTCCTTGTTTCCAGCTTAGTATTCTACTACATAAACAGTGGTTTTCAAAATCTTTGAAGGGCTTGCCTACAGAGAAATTCTTTGAGATAAAAAAAAATGGTGGTCAATATATAATTTATCGATTTTTTTCACTGTCTCAATGGAACTCGAAAGTCATTTACAAATGAGCTACAGCAGGCAGGGCGTAGTGGCTCATACCTGTAATCCTAGCATTTTGGGAGGCTGAGGCAGGCAGGTTGCTTGAGCGCAGGATTCAAAACCAGCCTGGGCAACATGGTGAAACCTCATCTCTACAAAAAATGCAAAAATTAGCCAGAGACGGTGGGACACACCTGCAGTCCCAGCTACTCGGGGAGCTGAGGCAGGAGGATTGCTTGAACCCGGGAGGTCCAGGCTGCAGTGAGCTTTGATTGCACCACTGCACTCCAGCCTGGGTGACAAAGTGAGACCCTGTTTCTACATAAATAAGTAAATAAATAAGCTACAGCAAAGAATGTTCCTTGTTTTCAAGAAATCTGAAAAACAACAATAGGTTTCAATGAATTGGTCAGGTTGTCCCAAACTGGCAAAAGAAGAAAACTTTTGCCAAGTCTTCCTGAGGAAAATGAATTTGTCAAAGCAAAGGTGTCAAAGCAATCACTGCAGAACAAAGCTTTGGGGTCAGGTGTTGAAGTAGAAAAAGGATCACCTGAGGTCAGGAGTTCAAGACCGGCCTGACCAACATGGTGAAACCGTCTCTACAAAAACACAAAAATTAGCCAGGCATGATGGCGGGTGCCTGTAATCCCAGCTACTCGGGAGGCTGAGGCAGGAGAATTGCTTGAACCCAGGAAGCAGAGGTTGCAGTGAGCTGAGATCGTGCCACTGCACTCCAGCTTGGGTGAGACAGAGAGACTTCATCTCAAAAAATAGAAAAAAGGAAAACAATATTTGATGCTATTCTATTATAGTTCAAACCTGAGGGAATGTGGTTAGAATAAAATCTCTGTAACATCACTGATGCCAAATAGATTACAGAATGGGAATCCTGCCTACTATCCCTCTGAATACATAATAGGTTTTTTTGTTTGTTTGTTTTTTGAGACAGAGTCTCACTCTGTCACCAGGTTGGAGTGCAGTGGCGCAATCTCGGCTCACTGCAACCTCCGCCTCCTGGGTTCAAGCAATTCTCCTGCCTCAGCCTCCCGAGTAGCTGGGATTACAGGCGCCCACGACCACGCCCAGCTAATTTTTGTATTTTTAGTAGAGACAGGGTTTCACCATGTTGGCCAGGATGGTCTCGATCTCTTGACCTCATGATCCACCCACCTCAGCCTCCCAAAGTGCTGGGATTACAGGCGTGAGCCACTGTGCCCGGCTTGAATACATAATGTTAAATGCAATTCATACACTCAGAGACTGCTTGAGACCACTAGCAGACCTCATAACCCAACTGCACAGTGAGAGACCACTTGCTGCTCTCAGATAGATAACTGAATGGTTCACATAACTCAGGATGTTCTTCTGACAGAATTCTAGAGGAAGGCTACCTACTGTTACCCTATCTGGACCAAAATTCTTTATTCTATAAAGACAACAAGAAAATTATGTGATTTCAGTATTCACTAAGGAATACCATATTCCAGGAGAAAGTAGCATTCTTTCAGCACTTTATCCAAAGTCAAGCCATTGGAAAACTTTCTACTTTATATGATAATAAACTTATCAAAAGAAATACAGTGGTTACATACTCAAGAGAACTGAAAATGTATGTTCAAACAAAAGCTTATACAAGAATATTCAAGGCAGCATTATTCATAATAGCAAAAAAGCGGCATTATTCAGAACAGCCTACTGATGAACAGGTACACAAAACGTGGTGTATCCATACAATGGAATATTACTATGCCATAAGAAAGGAATGAAGTACTGATACTTGCTACAACATGGATGAATAAAAACACTGTTAAGTGAAAGAAGCTAAAAACAAAAGGGCAAGCCGGGTGCAATGGCTCACACCTGTAATCCCAGCACTTTGGGAGGCTGAGGCGGACCAATCACTTGAGGTCAGGAGTTCAAGACCAGCCTGGCCAACATGGTGAAACCGTTTCTACAAAAAAAAAAAAAATTAGCCAGGTGTGGTGTGTGCACCTGTAATCCCAGCTACTCGGGAGGCTGAGGCAGGAGAATCCCTGGAACCCGGGAGGCGGAGGTTGCAGTGAGCCGAGATCACACCACTGCACTCCAGCCTGGGAGACAGAGTGAGACTCCGTCTCAAATAAAATAAAATAAACAAAAAAAACCCCAAAAGGCCAGGTATTATGATTCCATTTATGTGACATGTTTAGAATAGGCAAACCCATAGGACAAAAATCAGACTGTGGTTGCCAGGGAACAAAGAGAGGGACTGCTTAATAGGTATGGGGTTTCTTTTTGGGGTGATGAAAATGTTCTAGAGTTTGGCAGCGGTGGTGGCTGCACATGTTACACTGTGAATGAACTAAAAGCCACTTAACCGTAGATTTAAAATGGTTAACTACATATTTCAAATCATAAATTGTATTTTATAGGAATTTTACCTTAAGAAAAAAAAAAATACTGGGCTAGGTGCACTGGCTCATGCCTGTAATCCCAGCACTTTGGGAGGCCAAGGAGGGCGGATCATGAGGTCAAGAGATCGAGACCACCCTGGCCAACATGGGGGAATCCCGTCTCTATTAAAAATACAAAAATTAGCTGGGCATGGTGGCATGAGCCTGTAGTCCCAGCTACTCAGGAGGCTGAGGCAGAAGAATCACTTGAACCCGGGAGGTGGAGGCTGCAGTGAGCCAAGATCGCGCCACTGCACTCCAACCTGGCGACAGAGCAAGACTCCGTCTCTCAAAAAAAAAAAAAAAACAACAAAAAAGAACTTCTAAATGTTATTTATCTTGTACCTGTATCTCCTCCACTCCTTAACAAAATACTGTGAGCATTAAAAAAAAGACCACTCAAAAACACTTTTTAAAATATAATATATTGACATTCTAAAAAAGGCAAAACTATAGAGACAGTTAAAAGATCAGTGAGGTTGCCAGAGGCTGGTGTGAGGGAAGTAAATCAGTGAGAGACAAACTTTCTAGAGCTGTGGAACTAATCTGTATGATACTGTAATGTTAAACATAAAATACTAGAAGCTGTCAAAACCCATAGAAATTTATATCACAAAGAATAAACTTTAATGTGTGCAAATTCTTAAGTAATTAGGAGATAAAGGTAGCTCAGCAAAAAATGCAGAATGTGACAAAATCTAAATCTATCACAAATACACGAGACGACTTCAGGAAGTAAGTAGGGAAAGCTGCTGACCTAAAAAACATTAGAAATGAGTGCTGTCTATAAAACTAAAGGCAAAAAGAACTATCTGTAAGTCTCTAGTTGATAAACTAGTTTCCCACAGGTATACAGATTAACAGTTCTGAAACCACTATACGTGTATGCTGGAATGGAATAATTAATTCTGGCAGATGGTGGGAGGCAGGTTTTTCACTGATGAAGCAGGAGGTTACATATAAGCAAGGTAAGGTTAGAATGATACATGTGGTAATGAATTAGAGTTGGAGACATCACGAAGTCATGTTTAGCTTAATAAAGACACAGTTACATATAGAAACATATATAGATATGTGTATATACACAGGTTAATATGTACACATATATCTCCTTCCTCCGTCCCTTGAGAGGGCCTAGAAGATACAACACTTCAGTACCAACAAGCACACCTATCACCCAGATCTTGGTTTGTAACACCATTCTTCAATAAAAGGTACCAGGGCTCCTTGAGAAATGACTGATTACAGGACTGGAGCAGAAAATATACAAGATGAACCTTAAGAGCATCTTATGTTGCCAGAAAGGAAGAAAGTACACACACAATGATGGAGATATGTCAAAGAGAAAGGATACAGGAGCCAACTTAAAGAGCTCCCAATGGCCAAAGCTGAAATAATTTAGCAATGAAATTTAAGTAGATACACCACCCTTAAGGAGGTAGAACATAACTCATCACCACTAAGTGTGGGCTGTACATAGTGACAATTTTCCAGAGTACAGTAGGAAAGAGAGGAGGAAAGAGTAACTTTGCAGAAAACAAACTCTGCCTCAAGCCAGATGAGCAGGGTTAACATCAACACTGATAAGTCATACTGGTAGTATACATCCCTAATATGTGATGAGAATGACACTTTAGCCCTGTGGTCTTCCTTCCAAAAGCATATTACATTCTTGGCCTAACCACAATGAAAACATCAGATAAATCCCAAAGAACGTTCTATAAAAATACCTGACCACGGCTGGACACAGTGACTCACGCCTGTAATCCCAGCACTTTAGGAAGCTGAGGAGGGTGGATTGCTTGGTTCTAGGAGTTCGAGACCAGCCTGGGCACCATGGTGAAACCCCATCTCTACAAAAAGTACAAAAATTAGCAGAGCATGATGGCACACATCTCTGGGCCCAGCTACTCCGGACATTGAGGTCAGAGGATCACTTGACCCCAGAGTGTTGAGGCTGCAGTGAGATGAGATCGTTCCACTGCACTCCAGTCTTGGTGACAGAGGGAGATCCTGTCTCAAAAAAACAAACAAACAAAACCTGACCAGTAATGTTCAAAACTGCCAAGGTCACTAAATACAGGGAAAGTCTGAGAAATTGTCACAACCAAGAGGAGCTAAGGAGACATAATTACTAAATGTAATGTGGTATTGTGGATGGGATCCTGGGATAGTGAAAGAACATTAAGGAAAAAACCTGTGGAAACCTGATAAAGTATGGTCTCTGTGATAATGTATCAATACTGGTTTATTAATACAGACAAATGATCACAGGGATGTAAGACGTTAATAATATGGGAAACAGTGTAGGATAGGCAGGAACTCTGCAGTATCTTTGCAATGTTTCTGTAAATCTAAATTTTAAAGTCTATTTTTAAAAATTATAACAAATTTATGATCAACGGCATCCCTGGAATTTTACTCAGTGCATCTAGGACACAAAAGATACTTAAAATATGGTCTTTGCCTTCAAGAAGCTTGTTGTCGCAGAGTGAAGACAAATGCTCATGAAACTAGTATAAAATACAAAAATAAGAAAAAATTAAATTGAAGAGTAAAGATAAAACTATATTAAGAATATAAAGAAGGTCTAGAATTATCAGGAAAGATTTGGTCAAGGAGATAAAACTTGAATTTGTACCTTAAAATATACTTCAGAGTAGCAAAGTTAAAAAAAAAAAAAAAGAATAAACTAAGCTCACAACAACCAGAAGGGTGAAGAAATAAGAAAAAGCTAACAGAAATTAAAATGGCTGGGGCATGGTGGCTCATGCTTATAAACCCAGCACTTTTGGAGGCCAAGGCAAGGGGGATCACTTGAGGCCAGGAGTTTGCCTAGGCAACATATGAGACCCCATCTCTCTCCATAATATCTTTAAAAAAAAGAAAAATAAAAACATTCAGCTCTGAAAAGTGAAGACTTAAATAGGAGACATAATAGCAGTGCTCAAACACTTTAAGGGTCATGTGGCAGAACTAACAGAGTTACACCTATACCCATTTAACTTACAAGCCAACCTCTGGCAAAATGTGACCAATGCTCAAGGACAAAGAGAGTGACAGCTGTTCAGTGGAGCCACAACAGGAAATGCCAATATGGATAGACAGGAAGCAGGTGGCTAAGTTCTCTACAACTTTTCAAAGGACAGTATGTATGTGAGCCCAAAGAAGTAAAAATCAGATTCTAATTCTGCAAATGTTTACTGACTATCTTAAGTGCCGGGCTCTTTCAAATACATTATCTTGTTTAATATTCGCAACACATCTATGAGCATGTATTAATGTAATAGAGGCTTAACATAAAAATAGAATTAAACCCTGCATGGAAACAGGAACATGTCAAAATTCTATACCATCCCCCACTCTCTGATAGGGACTCCAGAGCAGTTTTAAAAAGCCAAACAGTCTGAAGGCCCAGATACCTATATAACAATTTATTTCCTCTTGCTCTTTCCCTCAGTCAAGCTCTGTGGCTCTCAGCCTTTCATATTCGTAAGAATTTTATACAACTATACATACAAAAACATGCAGACCATACTTTTTGAGCAATTTATGGAATTTTCCAGAAGAGTTTTCATCTTACATGATTTTTGCCTCATGCACTAACTTGAGGACCTAACCCTGGGATGAGGTGCAACTCCACTGCAGTCTTACTCCATGGGTACTGTAAGGCAGGATCAGGAAGAGGAAACGGAAAGGTACCATCCTATTACATGAAGAACAACATTCTAACAAAGACATAAAATGTATTTACATAAAATGTAAGAATGACATGTTATGTGGGGAAGTTCAACACTGGAAAACAAGAGCAGCTCATCTGCACCTGCAGACCTTTGCACTCACTGTTTCATTTACCAGGAAAGCGCTACCATTTTTCAGGTCACAACTCAAATACCTTCTCCTTAATGAGGCCTCCTCTCACTAAGTAACCCTCCACCCACCTTTCAGTCATTCACTTGTCACATCAGCTTGTTTTATTTTCTTCATAATTCATATTAGGGGTCAGCAAACATTTTCTATAAAAGGCCAGACTATAATCTATAGGCCAAATCCACCTTGCCCCGTTTTATATGGCTAAGAATGGTTTTACATTTTTAAATGGCTAGGGGAAAATATTTTTAAAAACTCATTAATATTCTGTGACATGTGAAAATTTTATGAAATTCAAATTTCAGTGTCCCAAGTTTAACTGGAATATAAACATATTTGTTCACGTACTGTCTGTGGCTGCTTTTGTACTAAAACAGAATTGAGTAGTTGCAAAAGAGATCATATGGCCCAAAAACCCTGGTATGTACTGTACTTCCTGGTCCTTTACCAAAAAAAGCTTACTAACCACTGATTTATATCATTATCTGAAATGATCCTATTTGCTTGTTTGTTGTATATTCCTCATTCCCATACATACAGAATAAAGCTTAATTAGGGAAGAGGCCTTGTCTGTTTTGTCCCAACAATGTAGCCCAGTACTTAGAAAACATCCTGGAACAAAGTAAGGGCTCAATAAACATTTGATGAATTAATGAATGATCCATAAATGCCACTCTGAGGAGCTTAAACCTAAGCCCTGAGCCATTATATGTTCTGCACATTTATGAGAGGCATAAGCAGTCTTGCAGAAAAGGGGAAATATTCTACTATCAAGAAGGCCCAGTTTAAAGTAATGGTGGTTGGTCACCAACTAGTCTAGGGCACTGGGGTTCTTCATCAAATTGTAGACTACAGGTCTTTTGTGCTCATAAAAGAGTCCTTCTGCAAGGTGTCCCAACACTGTCAGCGGTCTGTGCTTCTGTTTATCTTAAGATGCAAATGCTCTGAGAAATCTCATTCTTATACACAGTACACAGCACCTACACCATACCAAATCTTAATCAATGCTCATAATTATAACAGTTCTACATCACATGCTAATGAATTTTTAACGTCTAAAATTTTCCTATGCTGCTGATCAGCAATCTATAAGCAGCTCAAAACTCTTCAGAAATTAAAAGGTTACCACCCACAGACCAGAAGCAGCTTTTTAATCTTTCTACACTAGCCAGAGAGTGGGTGATTGCAAAAAAATACAAGCCAACTCTGTTGGTAGAGGACAGGGTTATTAAGTTAAAATCCCATCTATAAGCATCGTTTTGTCACATGACACTAGTAAAACTACCACCTACTCACAATTTGAGTTTCAATCTCCTAATATACAGAGAAAAAAATGTATCTACCTCCTGGAACAAATCAAAGTTTTGTTTTATTTTAAAGCAGCTATCTGATATTTATGCCCTGGATTTTTTTTTTTTAAGAACAGAATAAGCTAATTTAGGAATTCACACCTTTCGTAGAGATGCTTATGGTACAGGTACCTCTGACGGCTAGGCTCTACCAACACTAACGTGTAACGTGTCACAAAAGCCAACGGGCGTTGCGGGGGCCGGGGGTAGCCAACAGCTCAAGTGGGCTGCTTCACTCCGTGGCAGATTCACCTGGGGATTCCTCACCAAGAATGTTGTTAAGGGACGAACCAAACCAACCACAAATGATACCCCTTTACCGAGGCTGAAAAAGCAGAGATTCGCAAGCTATAAACGAATCTCTGGCCCTTTAGGGAAGGTGCAACTCGCTGCACCTCTTTCCCCTATCCTACAGGGGTTAACAGGGGGCATCCTGAGGCCGAGACCAAGCCCAGCCAGCTCCTCCTCACATCCCACCTCCCACTACATATTCTCCCCAGTACGCCGGGCTCCCTCCTCCCCTCGAAAGACAGTTCAAAATCAAAACAATAGGTGCAAAACTGGTTTCAGGTGGAAATGGCTGAGTCCTGGTGGCTAACTTCTGGGACGCCATGGCGATCGAGGGCTCCTAAAACCCCAGATTCCGACGGGAACCGGCTCCTAAACAGTCCCTCGGGCCTCGGCCCGACTTCTCACACGCCCCTCCCTCACCTCGGCCCTGGGATGCTGGGAAGGGAACGAGGCGAGGGGCTGGAGGGGAACCCCAGGTCAAAATGACAGCGGAATGAGCCGGGAAAGGAAAGAGGCCCCGTGGGATGCTGGGGGTCGAGTCCTAGGCCCGGGGCTTCAACCTCGAACGGGGGCGACGGCAGGTCCCAGCCCCGACAGGCCGCGAGCGGGAGGCCAGGCCCGCGTCCGCTGCGCCGCCAGGCCACGCTCCCTCACGACTGTCCCCACCCACCGCGGAGGGCCGTGAGGGGGCCGCGACCGCCGCCAGCGTCCGGGGCGGGGGCGCTCACTCACCGGCGGGGAGGGGAGGAGCAGCCGGCGTCTCCGCCAGCGCCGTCGCTCGAGCTCAAGCGCCTGCTCCTTCCACTGCGGCCGCCGCACCCGGTCCATCCCCCACAACCACCCCCCCCTCCCGACCCTCCCCCCGCGCCGCCTCAGCCGCCGCCGCCTCAGTCACCGCCACCGCCGCCGCCGCCTCAGCCCCGGCGCGGGAGGGCGAACCGGCGCGAGAGAGCGAGCGCGCGCGCGCCCCCGCCACAGCCGCCACCGCCCACAACCTCCGCCCCCGGCCGGCGGCGCACGCGCAAGGGAGCGGGCGGACGGGCGCGCGCACGCCGCAGGGGCGGGGATGGGCCCTGGAAGGCGTGGCCCCTCCCCTAGCCCGCCTTCCCACGCGGTCTCTGGGCTGGTTGAGCTGCGCCGCTGCAGGTAGTGCTGAGTTGCTCCAGGTAAGCTCCTCCTCTCAAAAAGCTCTAGGAACCGAGCCACCCTCGCCCTAGGAGCAACGCCCCTGAGTAATATGGGGTTTCGTCGGATTTCTGCCCGCCGCTCTGGATCACACGTTTGTTCTCCCTATTTGAGTCGCAAGGCCTTCCTTCATTCCACCTAGCAGGCTGCTTGGAAAAGGGCAGAGACTCATTACTTTGCACCAGGTATTACCACTGAAGGGATTGTAAGCAGCCACCAGCCCATCCCTTTATAATTCCCATTTTCCTAATTTATTTTATTTTTATTACTTATGTAATGAGGCTTCTTCCGTGTTCAAGGAGCTGGGAGTACCATATGGGGTCAACGGAGTCCCTGGTCTCATGAAGTTTGAGATCTGGTGGAGAAGGAAAACATTCATGGGAGAATCAGACAAAATTAAGTTTTCAATTAGTAAAAATCTTCTGAGAGGTATATGGTACTAAGAGAATCTTTATGGGGGAATTGATTTAGTTGAGGATGAAGAGGGTAGAATCTGAGGAATTGAGTTGGGAGGAGTTAGTTGCTCCAAGGGGTGAGGTCTTGGCATGGCCAGAATGGGGAGCGCTAAAGAATATTGAATGTGGAGTAGACTGCGAGTGTGGGAAGAGGTAGGCGAGAACAGGTGAGGATTGGGGACCTATTTATTTATTTATTTATTGAGACAGAGTCTCACTCTGTCACCCAGGTCACCCAGGCTGGAGTGCAATGGCTCGATCTCAGCTCACTGCAACCTCCGCCTCCTGGGTTCAAGCGATTCTCCTGTCTCAGCCTCCGGAGTAGCTGGACTACCAGCGCACGCCAGCGCACCTGGCTAATTTTTGTATTTTTAGTAGAGATGGGGTTTCGCCATCTTGGCCAGGCTGGTCTGGAACTCCTGACCTTGTGATCTGCCCGCCTCGGCCTCCCAAAGTGCTGGGATTGCAGGCATGAGCCACCACACCCGGCCGGATTTGGGACTTTAATCTGAGTGCTTGGTAGAAGCTATTCAGGTTTTTTTCAGCAGGGTTGCAGGGGAAATAACTTGATCATTATGTCTGTTTTTTGTTTTTGAGAGGCAGACTGGAGTGCAGTGGCGCGATCTCGGCTCCCTGCAATCTCTGCCTCCCGGGTTCAAGTGATTTTCCTGCCTCAGCCTCCCTAGTACCTGGGACTACAGGTGCACGCCACTGCACCCAGCTAATTTTTTTAGTATTTTTAGTAGAAACGGGGTTTCACCATGTTGGCCAGGATGGTCTGAATCTCCTGACTTCATGATCCACCCACCTCGGCCTCCCAAAGTGCTGGGATTACAGGTGTGAGCCACCTTGCCCCCAGCCCATTATGTCTGTTTTTAAGTTACTTAGATAGCAACGTGAAGAGTGGTCTGATGGGAGTCTCAAAGCTGGGGCCGGGAAGCCAGTTAGGAGGCCACTGGCCACATAGTCAAGGCAAAGTAGGAGGGTAGTGACAGAGAAGAGTGCTAATGTAGTGGTAAAATGGACAGGACTTGGCAATAAATTGAATGAGGAGTGAAGGAGAAGGAGGTGGCAAGGTTTACTTAGATTTGAGGTTGGTGGAGGATGCATTTATAGATTTCAGAAGCACTGAAGGAGCCACCTGAGGTAACTCAAAATGGATGATAAACCTAAATTTAAAAGCTAAACCTATAAAAGAAAATTTTAGAAGAAAACATAGAAAAAGTATTTGTGACCTTGGGATAGGCAAAGACTTCTTAGGACACAAAAAATATGAACCATAAAAAGTGATTCATGGCCTGGCTCACACCTGTAATCCCAGCACTTTGGGAGGCCAAGGCAGGCAGATCACTTGAGCTCAGGAGTTCAAGACCAGCCTGGGCAACATGGCAAAATGCTATCTCTACAAAAAATACAAAAGTTAGCTGGGCTTGTTGGCACGTACCTGCAGTCTCAGCTAACTTGTGGGGCTGAGGAAGGAGGATCACTTGAACCTGGGAGGCGGAGGTTGCAGTGAGCTGAGATGGCGCCACTGCACTCCAGCCTGAGTGACAGGGTGAGACCCTGTCTCAAAAAAAAAAAAAAAAAAAAGAAAGCAATTGATAAGTTGAACTCTATCAAAATTAAAAACTGGTACTCTTTGAGAGACAACATTAAGAAAATGAAAAGGCAAGCCACAGGTGGAGAGTTTGCAATAGAAAGCATTAGACAAAAGTCTTGTATCCAGAATACATAAAGAACTGTTATAAATGAGTAATAAGCCAGCCCAATAAACCAATGGGCAAAGGCTTTTTTTATATCTTGTAGATAGTTCACAAGATACAAAAATGGCCTATAAGCAATGAAGAGATTACCAACATCTTTAGTCAACTAGGGATTTTTCCATTTAAAACCACAACACTCTCATTAGGATAGCTAAAATTAAGACCGATGACCCAGCAATCACACTCCTACACATCTCCTTAACCATACTTGATCTCTAAAGGCTGACAATAACACACCAGGGACCCTGTAATCCCAGCACTTTGGGAGGCCAAGGCAAGAGGATCGCTTCAGCCCAGGAGTTCAAGACCAGCCTGGGCAACCTAATGAGACCCCATTTCTACAAAAAAAATTTTTTTTAATTAGCCAGTGTGGGAGTGTACACCTGTAGTCCTAGCTACTGGGGAGCCTGAGGCAGGAGGATCCCTTGAGCCCAGGAGTTCAAGGTTGCAGTGACCTATGATCGCACCACTGTACTCCGGCCTGGGTACCACAGCAAGACCATATCTCTTAAAAAAAAAAAGTCTTTGGCTGGGCGCAGTGGCTCACGCCTGTAATCCCAGCACTTTGGGAGGCCAATGTGGGCAGATCATGAGGTCAGGAGTTTGAGACCAGCTTGGCCAACATGGTGAAACCCCATCTCTACTAAAAATACAAAAATTAGCCGGATGTGGCAGCGTATGCCTCTAATCCCAGCTACTCAGGAGGCTGAGGCAGGAGAATCGCTTGAACTTGGGAGGCGGCGGTTGCAGTGAGCCAAGATCATGCCATTGCATTCAAGCCTGGGTGACAGAGTGAGACTATGTCTCAAAAAAAAAAAAAATTTAAAGACAATAACAAAGTCATACTTTCACTTAACATGATATAACTATCCTGCATACTATTGAAAACATAACAACACTTTTCCCAAGGGGATGCAAAGTCCTTGAGTGATGTTTCTTCTCCACCTTTGATGTCTTATAACTTAATACTGCAATATAAAGTTACCTATCATTAATACGTCTCCATCTTGTAGTAGCAACCGAATTTCCTGCTTAGTAATCAGGATTAGTCACCTCAGCCAGTAGAGGAACTTCCCACTTTACCTGTTGATTCAGAGGCATGAAAGACCCAAGGTGGCCAGGTGACCACCTCAACTCCCAATTCAATGGAAATGTTGTTGGGTCTCCTGGTGGAAGCATTCCTTCTTTTGGAACTAAGACCTCTTGGTCAGAAGAGCCTCTGGACGTTTCTACTTTCAGGAAAAATGAACAACCAAGTACACTCTTCAAAGTTCTGCCAACTGGGGGATTTTTTTTTCACCATTATTCTTCAGGGATGTCCCAGAAAGGGACACTAGTTTTATTTTCACTGGTGCCTGCATATTGTGCAGAACCATCATAAACCTGGGCTATGAACCACAACTGAGTTTTCCCTTCTTCAGTCAACTGGTCATAAGGAATGCCCCATGGCGCCATAGGTGCAGGCTGGGAGAGAGAAGGTAATGTAGCAGGAGTTGGGGCCATGGATATTTGGGCCACTTCCTCGTGCAACTTACCTATGCCTTCAGGGCCCATTTGAGCCCAATCTCATATATACCACTTCAATTTGATAATGGAGTGTTGCTGTGAGTGCACAACTTTATAGCTTGGTGGATCAGATAACACTTAGTTCATGATGAGCAGCTCAGGTCACATGGTAACTTGATGACCCACGGTTAACTGTTCAGTCTCTGCTTAGGCCCAGCAAGCCAAACGTTGTTTCTCAAGAGGACAGTACTCTTCTGCAGGGCTTTGCTCCAAAATCTTAAGGGTCTGCAGCGTGATTCACCTACAGTGGCCTGCCAAAGGCTCTAAACAGCATCTGTATCAGCCCCTTGCAGAATGAGACTCTGGGTTGGTTTTCAGAAATTGTGGCCCTAAGGGTTCCTTTCAGGACAGATATGGAAGCTTCCAGGTCATCTATGCATAGCTTAAAGCTTTAAACACTGAAAGGTGGGAATCTGAAACCCTGAGCTCATCCTTTTCTTTGCCTGCTTTCTTCAGTGCAGTTATGGCCAATGCCATTCTGTTCCTTGGTTTAACTAAAATATTCTAAGGTAACAAATACACAGTCACGCATAACCTTGCTTTCTATAGGTGTTTCATTAGGCGTATTCGATGCTTTATCATGCCATGGACTCCCAGTGCCCTCTTCACCACTGGAAATAGAGTCACTAGTGCCTTTAAATGTAATCATATAAGAATTCATGAAATTCAAGAAATTCAAGAAAACGCAGAACAAATTCAGAAAACTCATCCTCAAGATTCCATTCCTCTAGAGCCACTTTCAGTACCAAATCGGTATCAGTCAGGGTTCCAACAGAGAAGCAGAACCAGTAGGAGATACACAGTGAGATTTACTTCAAGGAATTGACTTATGTGGGGGGAGGGGGGCTGATTAGGCAAGTTGGAAATCTATAATGCAGGCAGGAGAATAGGCTGGAAATTTCAGGCAAGGGCTGAAGTCACAGTCCACAGGCAGAATTTCTTCTTCAGAATTTCTTCTTCTTCAACTCTGCTTTTAAAGACTTTCTACTGATTGAATCCAGACCAACCAGATTATCTAGGATAATCTTTCTTACTTAAAAACAATTTATGAATTTTAGTTATATCCACAAAAACACCTTCAGGCCCAGCATAGTGGCTCATGCCTGTAATCCCAACACTTTGAGAGGCTGAGGCAGGAGGTTCACTTGAGCCCAGGAGTTTGGGACAAGCCTGGGCAACATAGTGAGACCTCATCTCTACAAAAGTTTTTTTAAAAATTAGCAGGGCATGATGGTGTGCCTATAATCCCAGATACTCAGGAGGCTGAGGTGGGAGGATTGCTTGAGCCCACAAGGTCGAGGCTTCAGTGAGCCATGCTGGCACCACTGCATTCAGCCTGGGTAACAAAGTGAGACCCTGTTTCAAAACAAAAACTACCTTCATAGCAACTCTCAGATTTGTATTTGATTAAATAACTGGGGACTATAGTTCAGCCAAGTTGATGCCTAAAAAAGGCTATCACGTATTTACCCAAGAGAAACGAAAATATACATCTATACTAAGATTTGGGGGGTTTTAAAATAAAGTTAAAAAATTTTTTTGTAATTGAGAAAGGAGTCTTGCTATGTTGCCCAAGCAGGTCTTGAATTCCTGAGCTCAAGCTATCTGGCCACCTTTGCCTCCCTAAGTGCTGGGTTTACAGGTGTGAGCCACTGTGCCTGGGTACACCAAAATTTGTACAAGAATATTGGCAGTATCTATTCACAGGATCGCAAAACCTGAAATGTCTCAAATACACATCAACAGGTGAATAGATGAACAAAATACATTCAATTTACTCAGCAACAAAATATTCAATTAAATGAATATTACTTGGCAATGAAAAGAAATGAACTGTCAATCACTCAGTAGAGTGCATGAATCTCAAAATCATTATACTAGGTTGGTGCAAAAGTAATTTCGGTTTTTGCCATTACTCACTGCATTACTTTGGCAAAAACCAAAATTACTTTTGCACCAACCTAATAGCAGCAGAAGCCAAAAACAAAAGAATACATAATGTGCAATCCCATTTACATAACATTCTAGAAAAATGCTAGCTAATCTATAGTGACAGCAAACCAATGGTTGCCTGGGACCAGATGTGGAGGGAGAAATGTGAGAAAAAGGGGCACAAAGAAACTTCTGGGGATGATAACAGTGGTCTGCATGTTTTTTTATTGGTTTGTTTGCAACAGGGTCTCACTCTGTTGCTCAGGCTGGAGTGTGGTGGCACTATCACAGCTCACTGCAGCCTCAACCTCCCAGGTTCAAGCAATCCTCCCACCTCAGCCTCCTATGTAGCTAGAATTACAGGCATGCGCCACCACGTCCAACTAATTTTTAAATTTCTTGTGTTGGGTCTTGCCGTGTTGCCCAGGCTGGTCTTGAACTACTCCTGGGCTCAAGTGATCCTCCCTCCTCAGCCTTCCAAAGTGCTGGAATTACAGACATTAGGCACCACAAGAATGATCTGCATCTTGGTTATGGTTGTGGTTGTATGGGTGTATACATAACTTAAAACTCATCAAACTGTACATTTTAAATAGGTACAGTTGATTGTATGAATAGATATACAGCATACCCTACTAAAGTTGTTATTAAAAAAATCATTAGATGAGATTTAGAGCAGATTAGAAGCAGCAAAATAGTGGATTTATGAATGGGAAAACAGGCAGCAGTAAGTATTCAGATGAAAGTACAGAAAGAAAAGAAAGGAAAGAAAACTCAGAAAAGAGCATTAGAGAGAAAGGAGGCACAGTGATAGGTACTGCTGCAAAACTATAATGTGGGAGAAATGCTGCTGTGCTGTTGCTGAAAACATTATATAAGGCTGGGTGTGGTGGCTCATGCCTGTAATCCTAGCACTTTGGGAGGCTGAGGCAGGCAGATCACCTGAGGTCAGGAGTTCAAGACCAGACTGGCCAACCTGGCGAAACCCCGTCTCTACTAAAAGTACAAAAATTAGCTGGGTGTGGTGGTGCGCACCTATAATCCCACCTACTGGGGAGGCTGAGGCAGGAGAATCACTCGAACCCAGAGGGTGGAGATTGCAGTGAGCCAAGATCATGCCACTGCACTCCAGCCTGGGCGAAAGAGTGAAACTCTGTCTCAAAAAAAAAAAAAAAAAAAAAAATATATATATATATATATATATATATATATAAATAATTCTGGTTTTGGTGAGGCAATGTCTAGCATTCAGGCACTTAACCAATTAATATTAAGAGTATAGAAATCAGGGCCAGGTGCAGTGGCTCACGCCTGTAATCCCAGCACTTTGGGAGGCTGCGGTGGGTGGATCACGAGGTCAGAAGTTCAAGACAAGCCTGGCCAAGATGGTGAAACCCTGTCTCTACTAAAAACTACAAAAATTAGCTGGGCTCTGTGGTAGGCACCTGTGATCCCAGCTACCTGGGAGGCTGAGGCAGGAGAATCGCTTGAACCTGGGCAGCAGAGGTTGCAGTGAGCTGAGATCATGCCACTGCACTCCAGCCTGGGCAAAAGAGTGAGACTCTGTCTCAAAAAAAAAAAAAAAAAAAAAAAGGATAGTGTTGGGAACAGGCCCCCAAATCTGGCCATAAACAAAATTTCTGCAGCACTGTGACATGTTTGTGATGGCTATGACACCCACGCTGAAGGTTGTGGGTTTACCATAATGAGGGCAAGGAGCACCTGGCCCACCCAGGGCGGAAAACCGCTTAAAGGCATTCCTGAACCACAAACAATAGCATGAGCGATCTGTGTCTTAAGGACATGTTCCTGCTGCAGATAACTAGCCAGAGCCCATCCCTTTGTTTCAGCCCATCCCTTTGTTTCCCATAAGGAATACTTTCAGTTAATCTATAATCTATAGAAACAATGCTTATCACTGGCTTGCTGTCAATAAATATGTGGGTAAAACTGTTCAGGGCTTTCAGCTCTGAAGGCTGTCAGCTCCCTGATTTCCCACTCCACACTCTATATTTCTGTGTGTGTGTGTCTTTAATTCCTCTAGTGCCACTGGGTTAGGGTCTCCACAACCGAGCTGGTCTCAGCAAGTGGTGTCCATACATGGGGCTCGAACCTGGGTTGAAGGGTCGCCAGAGCGACGGTTGGAGAACGTGGAACTAAGCTGGAGGACACCTGAGTACTCTTAAGCAATCCCCGTGGTGAGTAAGAAGGGGAGCTCGGAAGCATCAGGGTATCAATGGGACAAGTGTGGGCTCTGGTTCATTCCACCTTGGAACCTTTTCACCCTAATGATGAGGAGGAAGGAAAGTATAATGAACTAACAGAAGACATGACAGAGCAGGTTTGTTTGCCAGCTAAAGCTAAAGCGGCAAAGGAGGAAGAGGTTCCTCCCTACCCTTCTGCACCCCCTCATTATTTTGAAGAAAAAGAGTAGCCTGACCCTCCAGATCTTTCTTTTCCAGAGGACACTGGGTGAAAAGTAGTTGCCCCAGTGACCGAGCAGTGCCTCGAGTGACCGCTCTCAGTTCTATTCAAGCAGGAATCCAGCAAGCTAGAAGAGAGGGTGATTTAGAGGTTTGGCAGTCCCTGTTGGAATACACCCCCCAGATCAACAGGGAAATATTATAGCTACATTTGAGCCTTTTCCTTTTAAATTACTCAAAGAATTTAAACAAGCTATTAATCAGTATGGACAAGGTTATCCTTTTGTAATGGGACTGTTAAAGAATGTTCCTGTCTCCAGTCAGATGTTGCCAGTGGGGCTTATAGGATTACTTCTAGGTAGATCTAGTTTAAATTTAAAAGGACTGCAAGTATATACAGGAGTCATTGATTCAGATTACAATGGGGAAATTCAAATTGTTTTATCTACTTCTGTTGCCTGGAAAGCAGAGCCAGGAGAGCGCATAGCACAGCTCCTGATTGTGCCATATGTGGAAATGGGGAAAAGTGAAATTAAACGAACAGGAGGATTTGGAAGCACAAATAAACAAGGTGAAGCAGCTTATTGGGTGAATCAAATTACTGATAAATGTCCTACCTGTGAAATAACTATTCAGGGAAAGAAATTTAAAGGTTTGGTAGATACAGGAGCAGACATTTCAGTTATTTCTCTACAGCACTGGTCATCCTCCTGGCCAATTCAACTCGCTCAATTTAACATAGTTGGAGTTGGTAAAGCCCCTGAAGTATATCAAAGTAGTTATATTTTGCACTGTGAAGGGCCCGATGGACAACCTGGGACTATTCAACCAATTGTAACTTCTGTACCTATAAATTTATGGAGGAGAGATTTATTACAACAATGGGGAGCACAAGTTCTAATTCCAGAACAATTATATAGCCCTCAAAGTCAACATATGATGCATGGAATGGGGTATGTCCCTGGTATGGGACTAGGAAAAAATTTGCAATGTTTGAAGGAACCACTTCAAGCAGGAAGACAAAGTTCCCACCAAGGTTTAGGGTATCATTTTTGATCGTGGCCATTGTTAAGCCTCCAGAACCTATACCTTTAAAATGGTTGACAGATAAGCCAATTTGGATAGAATAATGGCCACTAAATAAAGAGAAACTGGAGGCTTTAGAGGACTTAGTTACTGAATAATTAGAAAAAGAACACATAGCTCCAACATTTTCCCCTTGGAATTCTTCAGTCTTTATTATTAAGAAAAAATCAGGTAAATGGAGAATATTAACTGACTTAAGAGCCGTTAATTCCGTTATACAACCTACAGGGGCATTACAGCCAGGATTGTCTTTTCCTGCTATGATTCTGAAAAATCAGCCTTTAATAGCCATAGATTTAAAAGACTGTTTCTTTACTATCCCCTTAGCTGAGCAAGACTGTGAACAGTTTGCATTTACAATTCCTGCAGTAAACAACCTGCAGCCTGCTAAGCATTTGCATTGGAAAGTGTTGCCAGAAGGCATGTTAAATAGTCCAACAATTTGCCAGACTTATGTAGGGCAAGCAATTGAACCTACTTGTAAAAATTTTCACAGTGTTACATTATTCATTATGTGGACGATATACTTTGTGCTGCCGCCCCTCGAGAAATATTACTCCAATGTTATGATCACTTGCAAAACTCGATTTCTCGTGCCAGTTTAATTATAGCTACTTAAAAAATTCAGACTACTACTCCTTACTCCTACTTGGGGAACTTAGTAAATGACACTACCATTGTGCCACAGAAAGTAACCATATAGTAACCATATACGTCGGGATCAATTGAAAACATTAAATGACTTTAAAAAATTACTAGGGGACATTAATTGCATATGACCTGCTCTAGGCATTCCTACCTATGCCATGAGTAATCTATTTTCTATCCTTAGAGGAGATCCTAGTCTCACTAGCCCTTGGCAATTAACAAATGAGGCTGAGGCAGAGTTACAGCTGATTGAAAAGCAAGTCTGTAAAGCTCAAATGAATAGAATAGATCAAGAGAAGACTCTAGATTTGCTAATTTTTTCAACTCAGTATTCACCTACTGTGTTATTGTCCAAGAGCAGGACTTAGTAGAATGGCTTTTTCTTCCACATGCTAATTCACAGACTTTGACCCCTTATTTGGATCGAATTGCTACTATGATAGGAAATGGGAGAACTCGGATTGTTAAATTACATGGATATGATCCTGGAAAAATTATTGTTCCTCTTACAAAGGCACAAATACAGCAACTTTTATAAATAGTCTTACTTGGCAAACCCACGTAGCTGACTTTGTGGGTATTTTCAATAACCATTTTCCTAAAACAAAATTATTTCAATTTTTGAAATTAACTAATTGGATTCTCCCTAAAATAACTAAATTTAAACCAATTGAAAGTGCTGAAAATGTCTTCACAGATGGGTCTAGTAATGGTAAAGCTTCTTATTCTGGATCGAAAGGTAAAGTTTTCCAGACGCCCTATACTTCGGCTCAAAAAGCAGAGCTTGTAGCTATAATTGAGGTATTGACTGCTTTTGATATACCTATTAATGTGATTTCTGATTCTTCATATGTGGTTCATTCCACACAATTAATTGAAAATGCTCAGTTACGATTTCATACAGATGAACAACTGATGACTTTATTTACCCAACTGCAAACAGCAATTAGGAGTAGAATGCACCCTTTCTACATTACTCATATTCGGGCTCATACACCTCTTCCAGGACCTTTGACTCCAGGGAATCAAATGGCTGATCGCCTAGTTGCTACTGCAATATCTAATGCCAGACACTTTCACAATTTAACCCATGTTAATGCCTCTGGTCTCAAACGCAGATACAGCATTACCTGGACAGAAGCTAAAGCTATTATCCAGTGATGCCCAACTTGTCAAATGGTGCATTCCTCGTCTTTTACAGGGGGAGTTAATCCTCGAGGATTGGAACGTAATTCTCTTTGGCAAATGGATGTCACCCACGTTCCCTCGTTTGGGAGACTAGCTTATGTACATGTATGTGTGGACACCTTTTCTCACTTTGTCTGGGCTACATGCCAATCAGGAGAGTCTTCTGCCTGAGTTAAACATCACCTTTTGCAGTGTTTTGTGGTGATGGGCATTCCAGCTTCTATTAAAACAGATAACGTCCCAGGCTATACTAGCCAAGCTCTAGCTACATTTTTCTCTATATGGAATACTAAACACATTACTGGCATTCCGTATAATTCTCAAGGACAAGCCATAGTGGAAAGAATGAATCCCTCCCTGAAACAGCAGTTGCAAAAGCAAAAAGGGGGAAACAGGGACTATGGGATACCCCATATGCAATTGAATCTAGTATTATTGACTTTAAATTTTTTGAGACTGCCTAAAGGCCAGATGCTATCAGCAGCTGAATAGCATCTACAGAAACCAGCTGCAAAGACAGAAGCAGAACAACTGGTTTGGTGGAGAGAGCCAATGATAAAAAGTTGGGAAATGGGTAGAATAATAACTTGGGGTAGAGGTTATCCTTGTGTTTCTCCAGGACCAAATCAACTGCCAATTTGGATATCATCGAGGCACCTGAAACCTTATCATGAGCCTGATGCTGAGGAATAGATTCTGGGAGGATCCCGAGGATCCCCTGGTTGCAGCCATGTTGAGACTGACGCTGAGGGGGACCCCAACTGTCACGAGCAACACCCATCGAACGCAGCCACCTACCTGGGGACAGATCAAGAAGCTGTCACAGATGGCAGAAGAAAACCTAAGGAAAGTGGGACAACCAGTCACAATGAGTAATTTAATGATAGCTATGATAGTGGTGATCACCATTGCCATGAGTATTCCTTCAACAAGGGCTGGCACAGAGGACAATTATACTTATTGGGCGTATTTATCAATCTTGGCTGGCAATAATGCCTGGATGTAATCACTCTATGACACAGTTACACATGCTTTCTGGTCTCCGTATTTACCATAATAAATCTGCTCCTGTAATTGAGGTATACTGCCCTCAAAAACCTATTTGTAAACAGAATTGGACCTGGCTAGAAATAATGAATGTATTTGTTTGGGAAGATTGCATTGCAAAACAGGCAGAGGTGCTGTGCAACAATTCCCGTGGAATCATTATTGATTGGTCCCCTAAGGGGATGTTTAGCTTGAATTGCACCTGTCAGTCTGTGTGCCACAGCCACACTATGTTCAGCTGGTCTGAACAAAATGGTCAAATGGTAGAAATGGTAAGAAGTATGGCAAGAGTTCCTATTATTTGAAAACATGGTGGTATAGTGGCACCTCAACCTCAAATGATATGGCCCGCTCTAGGAGCTTAACATAAGGATTTGTGGAAACTATTAATGGCTCTTAATAAGATCAAAATTTGGGAGAGAGTAAAAAAGCATCTAGAAGGACACTCTACAAACTTGTCTTTGGATATTGCAAAATTAAAAGAACAAATATTTAAAGCATCCCAGGCACACCTGACCTTAATGCCAGAAATAGGAGTGCTTGAAGGAGTGTAGACAGATTAGCAGGTAGTAACCCATTAAAATAGATAAAAACACTTGGAAGCTCTGTGATTTCAATGATGATGGTGCTTTTAATCTGTGTTGTTTGTCTTTGTATAGTCTGCAGCTCCCGACTCCTGCAAGAAGTAGCTCACCATGATAAAGCCACCTTTGCATTTATCATCTTGCAAAAACAAAAAGGGGGAACATGTTGGGAACAGGCCCCCAAATCTGGCCATAAACTGGCCCCAAAACTGACCATAAACAAAATCTCTGCAGCACTGTGACATGTTCGTGATGGCTATGACACCCACCCTGAAGGTTGTGGGTTTACTGTAATGAGGGCAAGGAACACCTGGCCCACCCAGGGCAGAAAACTGCTTAAGGCGTTCCTAAGCCACAGACAATAGCATGAGTGATCTATGCATTAAGGACATGTTCCTGCTGCAGATAACTAGCCCAACCCATCCTTTTGTTTTGGCCCATCCCTTTGTTTCCTGTAAGGAATGCTTTTAGTTAATCTGTAATCTATAGAAACAATGGTTATCACTGGCTTGCTGTCAGTAAATATGTGGGTTAAACTCTGTTTGGGGCTCTCAGATCTGAAGGCTGTCAGCCCCCTGGATTTCCCACTCCACACTCTATAGTTCTGTGTGTGTGTGTGTGTGTGTGTGTGTGTGTGTGTTTCTTTAATTCCTCTAGTGCTGCTGGGTTAGGGTCTCCACGACTGAGCTAGTCTCAGCAGTATAAAAATCAGAATATTAATTTGGCAACATTTGGTAATATCAATGCAGAATATTTATCAGAAATCAAATGTTATCACCAAAAATCTACTCTACTTTGTTATCCAGGAGATGCAATACAAAACCCATTAATTAAAACATTAACAGATACTATTAAAATACTTTGGGATAAGGTCAGAAATGCTAAATGTTACTTATTATTTTAGACACATTACCTGATGCGAGGCATATAGTGCAGATGATTATGGTTAGAGTTGTGATTTTCTAAACTCAAATACTTCTATATGTGAACATTTTTGGGAGATTTTTGTCACAACTGGAGAAAGATTATTTTTAAATTTTAGTAAACTACTTACAAAAACTGAACCAGACAAAAATAATTCAAGAAGCTAGAAATATGACAACATGGTGCAATAGGAAATCCTTGAATAAAAAATATATATATGTATATATACACCATAAAATATAGAATGGTATATTCTGTATCATTCTATATTCCTTTTCTAAAGCATCATTATTATTATTTGAGATGAGGGGGAGATCTAACCATGTTGCCTGGGCTGGTCTTGAACCCCTGTCCTCAAGCAATCTTCCTTCCTCAGCCTCCTGAGTAGTTGGGATTACAGACACATACCACTATGCCCACCTTAAAGCTTGCTTGCTTGCTTGCTTGCTTTTTTTTTTTTTTTTTTTTGAGACAGGATCTTGCTCTGTTGCTCAGGTTGGAGTGAAGTGGCACGATCTCAGCTCACTGCAACACTCCAGCCTGAGCAACAGAGCAGACTCCATCTTGGGGAAAGAAAGAAAAAAAAAAAGAACTATACATCTACCAAAAGCTTCAGTTAAATGTTTGGGTATATTGAAAACACACTGGATATAAATTTGAAACCACTGTTAAACGTGTGACAGGAAAATCGAGTTGAGACTGCCATGCCCGTGTCAACTGACCATGGGTTCTTGGGCTCTCAATGCAATAGAACATTGACATGAGGCCAAAAGAGTTTTCTCAAAGCTTCACTGGAGCTTTTGTCCAGCCATAAGGGAGGCAGAACGAGAGAGAAAGAGAGATAGAGAGAGACAGAGAGAGAGAGAGAGAGAGTATTCCCTGACAGACTCCACCTATAAAAGAACAGGTAGGACTTTTTTATTAGGCAAAGTACAGAACTGACATCAGAAGTAGAGTGTACACAGGCTGGGCAAGGCAAACAATGTGAGGGGTAGGGTAGCAGGTCAGCATATCCAGTTGTGATGGTTATCTTGAGTAATGGGCCACCTGGTAGTCTGGCCTGTGACAACAAGACTATAAATCAATTGTCCAGCAGCATTCCTTTCTGAGGTGGGACACTCTGCAACCTTGGTTAGCTCCTAAAGCCAGTTCCTGGAATTCTTTAAGTAAAAAGACTATTAGCAGCGAGGTAATGGTGTGGGTTTTGTGATGTGTGGGAATGCTCTAATGGGGGTGAACCAAAGCCAGGCTCTGTCTCTACTGTGTCTCACCAGTAAAAACACAATTACAAACAGCATGCAATGCTCTTTTTTGTGATGATGGTTAATAAAGAATACACATTCTAAAATACCAGCAAAAGTTCTACTTTCAAACATATGTCTAAATTTATTAGCTAAGTACTGACCTGGTATGATGCTTTAAGTAAAACTGATGGTTTAAACAAAATGACAGAGAAAAATCAAAATGCAATGTCAAAAAATTTTAATGTACATAATGCTCTCAAAAACCTCAGAGGGATTAAGAAATTCATTTTTTACCTTTCTTAAAAAATATATATTTTTGGGGACAAGATCTCAAGCTCTTGGCCTCAAGCAATCCTCCTGCCTTGTCCTCCTAAAAGTGCTGGGACTACAGGCATGAGCCATTGCGCCTGGCCTAAGAAATTCTTCAAAGGAAAGCTAAGTGATAATGCTTACAAAAAGATAGATTACTGAGTTTAAAATAAATTGCAGAGTCTCTTGACATTCCTTTCAATTTCTCCTGCATAGAGAATATTAGAAAAAGGGGATTTCAATTGCAAATCCCTCAGCCCATCTATGTTCCAAAACTAAATTTTAAAATCAATTTCTTTTTTATTCTACATTGGAAACTGCAATGTCATTGTTTTTTCTTTTTCTTTTTTTTTTTTGGATGGAGTCTCTCTCTGTCACCCAGGCTGGAGTACAGTGGTGTGATCTCGGCTCACTGCAACCTCCACCTCCCAGATTCAAGCAATTCTCCTGCCTCAGCCTCCCGAGTCGCTGGGACTGCAGGGGCCCACCACCACGCCCAGCTAATTTTTGTGCTTTTAGTAGAGATGGGGTTTCACCATGTTAGCCAGGATGGTCTCAAACTCCCGACCTCAGGTGATCCGCCTGCCTTGGCCTCACAAAGTGCTGGGATTACAGGCGTGAGCCACCGCGCCTGGCCAGAAAGTGCAATATCACCCTAAAAATAAAAGTTTACAATACTGAAAGAAAATAATGCCCTTTTCAGTCTTCTAATCAAGATCCTTACTATTTAAAATGTGCTCCTGGAACAGCAGCATCAGCATCACCTGGGAGCTCTTTAGGTGTGCAGAATCTCAGCCCCACTCCAGATCAGCTCAGTCAGAGTCTTCATTTTGACATGACCCCCAGGCAATTCATTTGCATATCACAGTTTGAAAATCACTGGACTAGATGACATATGTAACTTGAAGAATTACAGGAAATATGAACTTCAACAGCTATTAAAAATTTATAACTGAAATTGACTAATTTCAGTTAATGATGATATTGATGGGAAATGAACAGAGAGAAACTAAAAACGTTGTTTGTTAAGATCTGGAGTAACTTCTGCTGAAGTATTGCAATGTCTTTGCAGCAATAATTGTATATTTATTTATTTATTTATTTATTTATTTATTTTTTTGAGACAGAGTCTCTCTCTGTCACCCAGGCTGGAGTGCAGTGGCGCCATCTCGGCTCACTGCAACCTGCACCTCCTGGGTTCACACCATTCTCCTGCCTCAGCCTCCTGAGTAGCTGGGACTACAGGCGCCCGCCACCACGCCCGGCTAAATTTTTTTTTTTTTTGTATTTTTAGTAGAGACGGAGTTTCACCACGTTAGACAGGATGGTCTCAATCTCCTGACCTCGTGATCCGCCCATCTCGGCCTCCCAAAGTGCTGGGATTACATGCGTGAGCCACCGCGCCCACCCTATTTATTTATTTTCATAGAGACAGAGTCTTACTATGTTGCCCAGGCTGGTCTCAAACTCCTGGACTCAAGCAATCCTCCTGCCTCAACCTTCCAAAATGCTGGGATTATAGGTGTGAGCCACTGCAGCAGGCCTGCAGCAATAATTTATCACATTTCCAAATACTTTGTGTCTCTCAGTGTGTATTTCACTTTGCTAATATGGGTAACCAGGAAAGAATGTAGCTTCACCAAATAAAAGTTAGTAGAAACGAATTAAGGTCTAGAGTGACCAAAAAAGACTGTTACATCTAGTAATCATCATATGTGGGAGCAAGGAAGCATTGAAACTGCCATAAAGAATTTTATTTCCATGAAAGTAAGACAAACAACTGTTGTATAGAAAACTATCATATACTAGTGACTTTGAATTTCTCGGCTGGGCCCAGTGGCTCATGCCTGTAATCCCAGCACTTTGGGAGGCCGGGATGGGCATATCACTTGAGGTCAGGAGTTCAAGACCAGCCTGACCGACATGGTAAAACCCTGCCTCTACTAAAAATAGAAAAATTAGCCAGGTGTGGTGGTTTGCACCTGTAATCCCAGCTACTTGGGATGCTGAGGCACGAGAATCGCTTGAACCTGGGAGGCGGAGGTTGCAGTGAGCAGAGATCATGCCACTGCACTCCAGCCTGGGCCACAAACTCCATCTCAAAAAAAAAAAAAAAAAAAAATTTCGACACTTCATCTTAGCCAAAAGGCCAAGAAGTGATATGACTTAAAATTTCTAATGATTGTGCTAGTTTTTCTTACTTCAGGGCCTTTGCTTATGCTATTCCCTGTTCCTGATACTCCTTCCTCTCCAACAGAGTTGGCTTAAATGGTTCAGGTCTCAGCTTGAATGTCATTTCCTCAGGGTGGCCTTCCCTGACCCCACAAAGTCAGCTGCTCTTATGACATTCTCTCAAAACACTCTGAATTTCCTCTTAGCTCAACATACCCATAACTTCCCCTTACATTTCTGCCTTCCTCTCTGGACTGTAAGCTCCACCAGTGCAGGGACTTTGTCTCTGTCATTCTGAACCCACTGACCTCCATGTATCTTTAGGAGCTCAATAAATATTAATTAAATTAATAAATATTAAATTAAATATTAATTAAATCAATAAATATTGATAAATATTAATTAAATATTTATTTAATTAATATTTATTAAGATTTACAAATGAGTGAATGGTGGTCCTAGTCATATTAAATGAAGTATAATCCTGACTTATATTTGTATAACTCTTTTCTCTTTTTAGTACATTTTTACTTCTGTTTTCCCATTTGACCCTCCAAAAACTCAGCTCTACCTGGAGAGTCTCTCTCAGTCCTTAAAGTGCATATGAGATCCCCTAGCTGTTAGGTGTGAGCATGGACTGGAGGTGGATGGCCTGCCTTCCCATCCTAATTATGCCACTTCAGATCTGTGTCTTGGGCAAATTCCCTCACCTCTTTGTGCCCCAGTGTCTTCGTTTGTGCTTACCTCATAGGTGTACTATGAGGAGCAAATGAATATATAATGTAAAGATCTTGAACAGTGCCAGATACCTAACAAATGCTAGCTATCATTCCAGGAGCAGCATGAAGATGAAGAGTATAGGGGCCAGTATTACAGATTAGGCATCCCCAATATTGTGCTGAGTAGAAGAAGCTGGACACAAAACAGCACACACTGTGCATTTCCATTACATGAAGTTCAAGGATAGGCAAAACTAGCCTATGATGACAGAGGTAGGCTAGAACAGTAGTGGGCGGGGGCAAGCACACTGACTGGGAAGTACACAGTAGTCTTCTTGGGTGCTGGAAATGTTTTGTGTCTTGATCTGGGTGGTGGTTACACAGGTAAGTATGTCTACAGAAATTTTTTTTTTTTTTTTTGAGATGGAGTCTCGCTCTGTTGCACAGGCTGGAGTACAATGGCACCATCTCAGCTCACTGCAACCTCCGCCTCCAAGATTCAAGCAATTCTCGTGCCTTAGCCTCCCAAGGAGCTGGGATTACAGGCATATGCCACCATACCTGGCTAATTCTAATTTTTGTATTTTCAGTAGATACAGGGTTTCGCCATGTTGGCCAGGCTGGTCTCGAACTCGTGACCTCAGGTAATCTGCCCACCTCAGCCTCCCAAAGTGCTGGGAGTACAAGCGTGAGCCACCGCACCCAGCCAGAAATGTATTCTTAAGATTTGTGGCTGGGCACGGTGGCTCACGCTTGTACTCCCAGCACTTTGGGAGCCCGAGGTGGGTGGATCACATGAGTTCAGGAGTTCGAGACCACTCAGTGAGCCAGTCAGCTCCAGGGGAACAGAACTCCGACATCCTCCCTGCCGGGGCCTCACGGTCAGGATTGCTAGTGATTGGGATCTCAGGCTTATTGATCTAGTTTGTCTTCAAGTGATAGAAATCCAAAGCAAATAGGCATATGCAAAATCAGAGCCATTTATTGGGAGAATGCTGGTGTGCTTATGGAACATAGCCTTGGGAAGTGCAGGGAGGGCCTCAGAGACAAGTGGGCCCTTGGACACTTTCTCCCCTCTCTGCTTTTCCTAGTTTTATCAGATCAGCTTTCTCCCCATAATGGGGGATGTGGCTGCCATTAGTTCCTGAGCCTCATGCTAGAAAACCTGTATCCTGCGTCAGTCCAGTCCAGCAAATCTGAGGGAAAGGCTCTGATTGGCCCATTTTGAGTACAATGCCCATCCCTAGACCGATCAACTGTGGCCATGAGCGTATGACCAATAACACCCACTGAAATTACATAGTGATTAGAAAGCAGAAAGGAACAGGTCCCCAAAAGAAGGTGTTGTTCCCAGAAGAAAAGGGGGTGCTGGGCAGGGAAGACAATATCACAGATGTCACAGTGGTGGGACAGAGAGGGATACAACTAAGTCCATGAAGGCTGGCCTGTGTCTCTTCTAATTAAACATAACTTTCTCAGTCCCTGTTGTCCAGTAATCCAGAGACAAGGTCAGCAGGATCCTACCTTTGAGATCCAACTAACTCAGCAAGTGGTGGGAGGGGCACCAGAGAAACATCAGGTCCTGTCTCAAGCCAGGACCTTCAGCCCTGTCAACAGGACAGTCCAAGAGAGTGGTGGAAGCTCACCAGGCTGGGCCCCCACAAACCAGTCCTGATGCCACAACTAACAGGCTGGGCCTCAGTGTCCTCCTCTGTAAAATGAGAGCTGTTGAGCTACCTGATTAGAGAGATAACATTGAGTTCCTGAATGCCAAACAGCTTGGATTTAAATCTCAGCTCTAGGCCTGGCATGGTGCCTCACACTTGTAATCCTAGCACTTTGGGAGGACGAGGCGGGTGGATGGCTTGAGCCCAAAAGTTTGAGAGCAGCCTAGGCAACATGGCAAAATCCCACCTCTACAAAAAATACCAAAAAATTAGCCAGTCATGGTGACGTGCACCTGTAGTCTCAGCTACTCAGCAGGCTGAGATGGGAGGACCATTTGAGCCCAGGAGGTTGAGGCTGCAGTGTGCACTCCAGTCTGGGCAACAGAGAGACCCTGTCTCAAAACTCTATCAATTCATCAATCTTAGCTCTACCCTTAGCAGCTCTGTGGTTTTAGAAACTTTTAAAAAATTTTTACTTGTTATTGGCCGGGGGCGGTGGCTCACGCCTGTAATCCCAGCACTTTGGGAGACTGAGGTGGGCAGATCATGAGGTCAGGAGATTGAGACCATCCTGGCCAACATGGTGAAATCCCGTCTCTACTAAAAATACAAAAATTAGCTGGGCTTGGTGGCACATGCCTGTAATCCCAGATACTCGGGAGGCTGAGGCAAGAGAACCCCTTGAACCAGGGAGTTGGAGGTTGCAGTGAGCCGAGATCTTGCCACTACACTCCAGCCTAGCAACAGAGCAAGACTCTGTCTCAAAAAATAAAATAAAATAAAATAAATTTTTACTTGTTATTTTGAAAAGAATTTTAAATTTACAGGATATTTTCAGGAGTAAGCCAAATAACTCCTGTATACCCTTAACCCAGAATCTGCAATTTCTACCATGTTGCCGCACTTATTTAGTCATTCTTTCTCTCTTTTTTTTCTGAGCCATTTGAGAGTACATTGCATATATCATGTCCCTTTACCCTTCACAGTTCAGTGTATTTCCTAAGAGCAGGGACTTTCTCTTACATAACTGCAGTGCAGTTATTAAATTCAGTAGATTTATTATTGATAATGATACCTTCTCATTGACAGTTCATATTCCAAATGTGGCCAGTTGTCTTGGCAACCCTCCAGCTTTTTTTTTTTCCCCTCCAATACTGGATCCAGGCCAGGATCAATGACTGCATTGAGTTGTCATGTCATGATATTGGAATGCTCATACACTGTTGGTGGGAATGTGAAATGGTGTGGCTACTTGGGAAAATAGTCTGACCGTTCCTCAAAAAGGTAAATACAGAGTTTCCACATGACTCCAGCAATTCCACTCCTGGGTATATACCCAACCGAAATGAAAACATGTCCACACAAAAACTTGTGTACAAATGTTCACAGCAGCATTATTGATAATAGTCAAAAGGTGAAAACTACCTAAATCTCCAACAATGATGAGTGAATGAACAAAATGTGGCATAGCCATACAATGGATTACTATTTGGCCATAGAAAGGACTGAAATACTGACACAAGCTGCAATGTGGATGAAACTGGAAAACGTGTGAAGTGCAGAGAGCCAATCACAGAAGACCACACGTTGTATGATTCCATTTACATAAGATGTTCAGAACAGCCAAATCCATAAAGACACAAAGTAGATCAGTGGTTGCTCAAACCTGGGACAGAGCGCACACACGCGCACACGTGTGTGTTAAAAACAACAACAGAAATCAGCTAGAGGTGCATGGTGGCTGCCCTTAGACCTGGCCCGTGCACTCGTTTGCCACAGTCTCCACCATGCCCTGTTACTCCCCGACACTGCACCTAGGGGCCAGGTCCGTTTAGCACAGCACTTCCATCTGTGTTCCTCACACCCTGCTGCTTCCCCTCACCGACTTCACACCTGTCCTGCCCCAGAGGAAGTTAATTTGGTGATGGCCTATGTGAAGACAGTCAGTAGGTGGTTCCCGCCTGGAATCCCAGCACTTTGGGAGGCCAAGACGGGAGGATCACTTGAGCCCACGGGTTTAAGACCAGCCTGGGCAACATGGCAAAACCCTGTCTCTATAAAAAATACAAAACATTAGCCAGGTGTGGTGGCATGAGCCTGTAGTCCCAGCTTCTCAGGAGGCTGAGGTGGGAGAATCACTGGAGCCTGGGAGGTTGAAGCTGCAGTTAGCTATGATCGTGCCACTGCATTCCAGCCTGGGTGACAGAGCAAGATCCTGTCTCACAAAAAAAAAAAAAAAAAAAAAAGGAAAGCAAGGGTGAGTCAATGACAAGAAGGTGTGCAGTGTGGGTGACAAAAACAAGGGGGGAGTCTGCAAGGGGGAGCAGCTTGAGGGGAGCAGAGACTTCAAGGGGAGGAAGCCTGAGTGACTCAGCAATCATTGGGGGACATTAGGGCAGAGGGAGGAAGTACAGGCCGGGTGCGGTGGCTCACGCCTGTAATCCCAGCACTTTGGGAGGCTGAGGCAGGCAGATGACTTGAAGTCAAAAGTTCGAGACCAGCCTGGCCAACATGGTGAAACCCCATCTCTACTAAAAATACAAAAAATGAGCTGGGCGTGGTGGTGCACGCCTGTAATTCCAGCTACTCAGGAGTCTGAGGCAGGAGAATAGCTTGGCCCCAGGAAGTGGAAGTTGCAGTGAGCCAAGATCACACCATTGCACTCCAGCCTGCATGACAGAGTGAGACTCTGTCTTGAAAACAACAACAACAACAAAAAAAAAAACAAAAGAAGGAAGAAGTGCAGGATCCTGGGTGGAACATGTCGGGGTATTCAGGCACCAGGCAGGAGGCCATGACACCCCCCATTCCCCACCAAGGGATTCCTGGTGCCAGTGAGGGCTGAGCCATCAGGGACAGGGACAGGTGCACCCCTTCAGTGGCCATGTCCCTCCAGGCCGGCCTCCCCAGTGCTGCCCCCATGGGCCCCGCCTCTTCCAAAGCTTGCACCCCAGGAGACAATAGAAGCACCTCATCCTGGCATTTAGGGACCCTGGGAATCTGGCCCCACCTTATCCTTCCAGCCTGTACCTGCTGCCTCCGCTTATTCAAGACCTAAGTTTCCTGGTGGCCGTGCCCCCCATGGGGTGGCTGTCATCCAGGCAGGGGTATTCCTGGGGAGCCCTTCCCTTCCCTACCTCCAATGCACCTACAGGGCCCCTACTATTAATAGCAGCACCTCTGCCTGGGGCTCCCTGAGAGGCTGGGGTGGGAGAGGGGTGGTCCAGCAGGCAGTAATCAATGTCCCCAAATGGTGGCAAGTGTGTGTGAATATGTGTGCCGGTGTCTGTGTGTGTGTGTGTGTGTGTGTGTGTGTGTGTGTCTGTTTGTGTTTGTGTGTGTGTGTGGTGGGAGTTTCTGCACTGTGATAGGAGGAAAGCACAAGTGGTTCTGGGATCCAGGGCAGAAGGGGCTCCTCTGTGTCCAGGGCTCAGGGATGCTCCCCAGAGTACCGGATATCTCAGCTAGGACTGAAGGGACAGGAAGTCACTCAGTGCAGGAGAGTAAGGGGGGAACTCTAGGCAGTGGGGACGGTGTGTAGGAAACATGACGGTGTGGAAAATAAAAAGTTCCTCTTCAAAGTTTCCCTTCTTGTTAAAGAATAAATAATAAATGTTAAAAGTAATAGTTTCTTTTAAAGACTAACTTCCTCTTCCTTCCTTATTTGGAAATGTTATTACTTTTCTAAGACCTTTTGCAAGCAACTTCCTCTTTTCCTTTTGTTCTCCATTGCCTTTACCTATTTAGGAAAGTTTTAAGTTGTTAGCCAATTGAGTTTAGCTTAGATTGTGAGGTCCGTCTCCAAGCAACGAAGAGAGGACACAGCAGTAAGGACCCAGTGTGTAAGGGATAAATATTCCTGCCTTTCTTTATTCATCGTGCTCTTGTGGCAAAATTGCTGATGGGCAGCATCCTTTCTGCAGAAAGTAAAATTGCCTTGCTGAGAAAACTTTTTGTCTGAATGCTAATTTTTCCTTGTGGCACCAAGGAACAAGCATTTTGTTTTCAAGAATCACGTGACC